>NC_000005.10:82231019-82534049 GCF_000001405.40 Homo sapiens | reverse complement strand
GGCTGAGAGAGGCAGGCAGAGCCTTCTGTCAAACACACAGGAATGTCCTGGCCAAATGGCCCAGGGAGGGTTGGGAGCAATGTTGTAAACTCCCTTTATAGTGATCTATTGTTTTGTTCTTGTTTTTGTAAGAATAATACAGAGAATATCTATTACTTTAACCCTGGAAATCCCTGAGAAAGAAGAGAAACTAGTGCCAAAGCCAGAACTACCCATTACAGGCCATAGTGGCATCTGTCATTAAATAGCAGCTCTATCATCCACTCTGTTTCAACATGGAAAAGCAGTGTCTGCAATACTGCATTACGTGTCAAACATCAGCCTTTGCCAGCTATCTGCAGGAATGGGTAAAATCACAGCATCTATGAGGGAATGATAGTTATTACCTATACTCTAAGACTGCAACTAATTTTGTTCCTCAATACTCAATAGCCTCAATAACCTAAATATTAATATAAGCTAGACTGCTGATTGAAGGTTTTCGAAGACTGCCATTGTGAAGCTGAAACAAATTCCAAATTTGTAGGCAGGATTTTCCTTCAAATAACGTCTGTTTCTGCAAGGTCAGTTCATAGAGCAGATAACCTGGAATAAGGAGGACATTTCACACAAAAATCACCCTGTTTTCTCCAGAACATGATAGGCTCCAGTAACAAACCTCAAAATCTCAGTGACTTAACAAAGCAAAGATGCTTTTCTCTCTCAGGAAAAGTCTGATGTGGATGGGACAAATTTTCCATGCTCATGCTCCTTCATGTGGGAATTCAGGGATCTAGGTTTCTCCACCTTTCCTTAAGCAGGGCGTGAGAGATAGAGGAAGAACACTAATTTTAGCTTGTATTCATAGCCTATGGGCCCAAACTGGTCACATCGTCTGAACTTAACTGCAGGGAACTGAGGTGATTTAGAAAAGCACAGGAAATATTTAGCTCATACTAACTGTCTTTGCCACATTCACATTTCTACACTTAATTTCTGATGCTGGGTGAGTAATATGGTTTGGCTCTGTCCCCACCCAAATCTCATCTTGAATTGTAGACCCTACAATTCCCACATGTCATGGGAGGGACCCAGTGGGAGGTAATTGAATCATGGGAGTGAGTCTTTCCCATAATGTTCTCAGGATAGTGAATAAGTCTCACGAGATCTGATGGTTCTATAAAAGGAAGCCTGCCTGCATAAGCTCTCTCTGTCTGTCTCTCTGTCTCTCTCTCTCTCTCTCTCTCTCTCTCATCTGCCACCATGTAAGAAGTCTCTTTGCTCTTCTTTTGTCTTCCACCATAATTGTGAGGCCTCTGCAGCCAACCTCTCTGGGTAACAGGCAGAGGTTGGAACACTTTGGAGGGCTCACAAGAAGACAGGAAAATGTGGGAAAGTTTGAAACTTCTTAGAGACTTATTGAATGGCTTTGACCAAAATGCTGATAATGAATGGTATGGACAATAAAATCCAGGCTGAGGTGGTCTCAGATGGAGATGAGGAATTTGTTGAGAACTAGAGTAAAGGTGACTCTTGCTAAGTTTTAGCAAAAAGACTGGTGGTATTTTGCCCCTGCCCTAGAGATTTATGAAACTTTGAACTTGAAGGAGATGATTTAGTGTATCTGGCAGAAGAAATTTCTAAGCAGCAAAGCATTCAAGACATGACTTGGGTGCTGTTAAAAGCATTCAGTTTTAAAAGGGAAACACAGCATAAAAGTTCGGAAAATTTGCTACTTGATGGCAGCCCCTCCCATCACAGGCCCAGAGGACTAGGAAGAAAAAATGGTTTCGTGGGCTGGGCCCAGGGTCCCCCTGCTGTGTGCAGCCTAGGGACTTGGTTTCCTGCATCTCAGCCACTCTAGCCATGGCTAAAATGGGCCAAGGTACAGCTTGGGCCATGGCTTCAGAAGGTGCAAGCCCCAAGCCTTGGCAGCTTCCATGTGGTGTTGAGCCTGCAGGTGCATAGAAGTCAAGAATCAAGGTTTGGGAATCTCCACCTAGATTTCAGAGGATGTGTGGAAATGCCTGGATGCCCAGGCAAAAGTTTGCTGCAGGGGCAGGACCCTCATGGAGAACCTCTGCTAAGGCAGTGCAGAAGGGAAATGTGTGGTTGAAGACCCCACACAAAGGCCCCACTGGGGAACTGCCTAGTGGAGCTGTGAGAAGAGAGCCACAGTCTCCAGACCCCACAATGGTAGATCCACCAACGGCTTGCACCATGTGCCTGGAAAAGCTGCAGATATTCAATGCCAGCCCATGAAAGCAGCCAGGTGGGATGCTGTACCCTGCAAAGCTACAAGGGTGGAACTGTCCAAGACCATGGGAACCCACCTCTTATATCAGTATGACCTGGATGTGAGACATAGAGTGAAAGGAGATCATTTTGGAACTTTAAGATTTGACTGCTTCACTGGATTTTGGACTTGCACAGCGCCGTAGCCTCCTCATTTTGGACAATTTCTCCCATTTGGAATGGCTGTATTTACGCAATGCCTATACCCCCATTGTATCGAATAAGTAACTAACTTGCTTTTGATTTTACTAAAGGGACTTGTCTTGTCTCGGATGAGACTTTGGACTGTGAACTTTTGAGTTAATGCTGAAATGAGTTAAGACTTTGGGTGACGGTTGGAAAGGCATGATTGCTTTTGAAATATGAGGACGTGAGATTTGGGAGGGTCCAGGGGTGGAGTGATATGGTTTGGCTGTGTCCCCACCCAAATCTCATCTAGAATTATAGTTCCCACAATTCCCATATGTTGTGGGAGGGACCCGATGGAAGGTAATTGAATCATGGGGGTGGGTCTTTCCCATGCTGTTCTCATGATAGTGAATAAGTCTCATAAGATCTGATGGTTTTATAAAAAGGAGTTTCCCCACACAAGTTATCTCCCTCTGTCTTGCCCACCACCATCTAAGAAGTCCCTTTGCTCTCCCTTTGTCTTCTGCATGATTGTGAGGCCTCCCCAGTGATGTCAAACTGTGAGTCCATTAAACCTCTTTTTCTTTATAAATTACCCAGTCTCAGGTAAGTGTTTATCAGCAGCATGAGAAGACTAATACAGGGAGATTAGGTTTGATGATGCTTCGAGGAAGATGCAAGGGCCGACTCTGTATGCAAGTGATGTAGGTCACTTCTTTGGGAGGAGATGGGCTTGGTAGGCAGGGTGGAGCACCAGGACAAAAGTGCTGTTTCCCTTGTCCTGTGCCTAAAATATCTACACAATTCTATCCCTTGGGTTAGGGTATTTAAGTCTACTTTTAACATATGAAGATTATCAGAGAGGAATATAATTTGAGCTAGGATGTTCAACAAATAACAACCCTTGAAGGGGCAAGTGAGAAGATGAAATTTCTCCCTGGGTGAAGGGCCACAAGCTCACCTCCTGAGATCAAGGCTCATTACCAGGGCAGGATCACCCAAGGGCAAGAATGGCTGACCTCAGGAGGAAGAACTATAATACTTGCAGACAAATGGTGGCCCTCCTCCATGCTCCCACTGATGATATCAGCCATTGATACCTTATGTGGAGCTGTTTTGTGAGTTGTTCTCACTTTGCTGGCCTCTAAAGAAGTAGAAAAATTAAACTGGTAAATTAGACTGGGAAGCAGCATTTTATGGTGGTAAGCATATGAGATGTCACTCAAACATACCTGGATCCATATCACTAGTTCTACTAATCATTAGTGATATGAGTTGGGAAATTGGTTTAATATATATGAGCCTTGTGTATAAAATGGAAACTATGTCCTCTGACACTACTTTGAGGTTTTTGAAAGGATAAAACAATATCGAGTATCTGACTTGAAGGTATTCAATGCATGTAAGATTCCTGTTGGACAAAAGGAGATGGAAAAGTTGGGCTTCACTCAGGGTAAGACTTTTCAGTGGAAGAATGTTGGGGCAATGTTAAGCAACAGGGTAACTGATCTCAGTGGGTAGGGACTGCAGGAAAAGAGAAAGGAGGGGAACCCAGGACAAACTTGGCTAAATTCACAATTTTGCCCAGACCAGGCTTACACTTCTGTCAGATTCTCATCCTCATTCATTGTGCTCTCTCATTTGGTGAGACTTAGTAGAAATTATGATAAATTAGCCTATGGAAAGACTCTGAACTTTCCTAAAACACTTAGACAAGCTTTTGGCTCTCTATTTATATACATGTGACCTTTAATGTCCCACATAGAGTGATGACCCTGAAGACACCTTTGGTGTTCAATCACAAGGGAAATGAGGAAGGCACTTTGACCACCAAAATGAGACTGGCTCAAGAGAAAGGAATTTATTTTCCAGATTCAAGAATCTTATTTTTCTTGCAGTGTCTTAAATTATGCAAAAATAGAAAAGCACTCTTAACTAAGCAAACAGTATGTAGGTTTAATTTTAAAAGTTTTATTAAATATTGCAGGAAATATCTCCAGAGCCTTTTAAATAGAATTTTAAATACAAGTATCTTGTCCCATGATGCTACTTTTGCTAAACATTATATATATTAGAGAACTGTTGAAGGAAATTATCCCATTTTTGAAGAAAATTCTTCATCATATGATAATACACTTTCTTCCAAAAAAAATCAGTTAACCAAAAAAACAGCTGCTCACATTGTAAAAAAAAAAAAAAAAAAAAAAAAAAAAAGAAATCAGGTAGCCTCATTTAGGCATGCTGGATTTTATCTACAATTAAATCATGATAGTCTTTCGGACTAGAGCTGAAATTTTTTTATTGATTAGTTCAAAAGCTAATCTATGATTGCCTTTCTTATAAGAATCTGCCCTGCTGCTGAACAAATATACAGGAATATGTAGAAGGCAAACAGAAAGAATTGTTTTCTAAAATATAGATTGAAAGTAGCCACAAAGTAGACTCTCCATTTGAAAAGTTTATCATAATGTAAGTAGTTTTGCATATGTCTCTCACTAGTCACAGTGTCCTGAAGCAATCAATCTAAGTCCCTCAAGTACTGCTTAAATGACAAGGTGGAATCTCTGAGGTGCTTCTTGAAAACCACAATAAAAGCAAAAAAAATAAAAAATAAAACTGTCTCCTCCAGAAACAGTGGATTCAAGATAAAATTTAATAATTTAGCTACGTCATTAACCAGCAATGTAACACTGGAAAAGTTACCTAACTTTTTTGATCCTTATATTTCTTATCAGTAAAGCAAAAATAATAATGTCTCCTTCACAGATTGCTAAAGTGTGATAATGTGAAATTCTCCACCACTGCCTTGGGCATATAGTAGCTGTTCAGCTACCCTTTGTTGCATATTAATCCATTCTGTCATTTTTATTGAAACTGATCTTTCAGGTATGCTCTTTAACCACGGTCATCTGGGTCCTTTTACTCACAAAATCTACATAAATAAAAAATTAAGTTATCACATTATGTAGCAAGAACTGAGTAGACAGTATGTCTGGGATGATGTGCTTTAAATTAAAAACTAAGCAGTGTTGAGGAAATTCACTTTGGAAGGCCTGGGGATGGAAGCTTAGAGGAATGGCTTCATGTTTTACAGAACAGCTGAAACTGGGTGATATGGTTTGGCTGTGTCCCCACACAAATCTCATCTTGAATTGTAGTTTCCACAATCCCCACGTGTAATGGGAGGACCCTGGTGGGAGGTAACTGAATCATGGGGATGGTTACCTCCATGCTGTTCTCATGATAGTGAGTTCTCACGAGATCTGATGGTTTTATAAAGGACTTCTCCCCCTCTTCAATCTGCACTTCTCCTTGCTACTGCCATGTGAAGAAGGACGTGTTTGCTTCCCCTTCCATCAAGATTGTAAGTTTCCTGAGGCCCTGCTGAACTGTGAGTCAATTAAACCTCTTTCCTTTATAAATTACCCCATCTCAGGTGTGTCTTTATTAGCAGTGTGGGAATGGACTAATACACTGAAGTACTCAAATCCAGTAGATCTATTTATTAGAAGGCATTTTAAGACTCTATGGTTTCAAATATGAGTCCCAATCAAAGTCACAAGGGTAGTCTCTCAGAATCTGTAATCAACAGGCTTCTTACATGGGCAACTGTATATTTAACAATGGTTAATAGTTTTCCTGAGCAATGTGGCTAAAGGCAAACATACTGTTTGTACATGTCTTAGATCTTATGTGTAAATAACTGTTGCTTATATATTTCAAACAAGAACCCTTACACATCCTAACAAAACATCACTCCAAAGAACTAATCAACTTTGAGATTTAGATTACCCCAAATAAGGATCCCTGTTAGGATCACAGGAGGTGGTAATAAGAAAGAATGAAACTTCATCCCTAGTCTCTACAGGACTATACTACAGTTACTCAATAAGCATTGTTGGTTTCTCTTGGGAGCCCAGTGTGAGGGCACCAAATACACATCATCAGAGTCCCAGACTGTGGCTGTCCGTAATTGAACACTCTTGACCTAAGCATCAGAGGGATTTAATTCTGTGCCATCCAAGGAGCAGCAACTTAAAACTACTCGTATTTGGCTTCTCTGATTTTGACTAGGGGAGTTGTTTATTGGTTAGTTGTTGGTGATTGGTTGCTTTTTTCCTTTCTTTGTTTTGGTTTGGGTTTTTTGTTGTTGTTGTGCTGAGAACAGGAGGATAAATGTACCCCATATAATATCATAACTTAAAACTCACCCCAGTAAGAGGGTACCTTGAGCCTGTCATTACTGTTGATTGTCTGCCCTTCCTAGTCCTGGATCTTGGAAATTCTCCCTGATAATACCAACCATCCATTTTCTCCTTTGTCGGATTTTCTTTGGAAAAATCAAAACAATTTATATGGAAAAAGGCAACAAGCCTCAATGGACAAAACGGTGGACTAGAAATGCCTATCTAATAATAGTTACTCTGCTGTAATTTTTACAGTGGGTTTCCCTCATTAACTTATAGCTTTTGAAAACTGGTTGCTCAAGTCACTATGCTCTGAATCTTTCTGTCTAGTGTGAGAAGCAAGACACATTCATAAATGATCACAACATAATAAAGCCTTATGCTTTATAATAAATTGCAGGAAACAAGTATTTCATGATCTCTTTGGACTTCACAAATAGAGAACTATGGTATTATTCTCAATTTATAGATTAAAAAAAATGGAGACTCCAAAGAGTTAAGGAACTTGACCAAGGTAAGCCAACAAGAAATGGGAAGATAATTAGGTCTTCCACTTCTAGTCTTGTGCCTACAAGAGCACCATGCAGGCTGCCCAGCAATCCATCCTTAGGAAAACAAACCGACACAGGAAAATGAAAATGAGAGAAATGACTTTCAATTTGAGAAAGTGAAAAAAAAAAAAAAAAGCCCTGCTTACTCACTGTTTCATAGATAAATATCCTGTGTCCTCCCCCAGATTCTCTAAGTCTATGGGGCAGCGCTGGCTTTCAGCAATAATAGTGTGACAGTTATTTGTTGAGAACTAATAATTACTAGACATACTGAAAGTAAAATAGATAAACACACACACTCTCTTAGGCTAAGTAGAGTGTGTATGAAGTAGAGATCATCACACCCATTTTACAAATGATGAAACTGAGGTAGAGACAAACTAAACATTTTGCATGGAGCTATACAACTGCAAGTGATTGGCCCCAAATATCATCACCACAATTCCTACTAGCTACACTAACCACCACACAACACCCCTACTACACATGGTAGACTGCACAAGCACTTGGCCAAAGCACAGGAACTAGGCCGGTTCACACTGAGGTGTATGAAGCTTCATGCAGAATGCTGTGTTTTAACACACATATATCGTTCATTTATTTGCAGAGAAGTCCTCTAGAAATCATTGTCCATTTCCACCGTGTAGGATTAAGAGTAGCATATAATTTAGGGTTACGAAAATGTGTAGAAAACATGCCAGGCAGAAGAAAGGACCTGTTATTCTTCAGCAGTGACCCAGGGCAGGTTGAAGGGCAGAGCCATTTCCTACTGGCTTCCCACCACATCACCTTCCTCTCTTTCCCTCTGGGCAACTCATGTGCACTTTGGGAGTTCTTCCCAACCTACATCTCAAAACTCCAAAAACGTGCAGAATGTGGAGTACAAGAGAGGAGATTTGGGCTAGAAGAATTTCAAGTACTCAGTTTCTAAGTAATGTTACGACATTGTATTTCCTTATTTCAAATAAGACACATTCCTATCTCTAGGGTCCCCTTGGTACCATTTGATAAATTGCTCTGCTGGCCCCAAATAGTCCTACAATTCGTTTTTACATGTCAGCTTTAATGCTGTGATTTCAATACCGCTAGCCCTTATGTTTTGCCAAATGATACAGGCCTGTACATTTGTGGTTTAACTCAGCCTTGTGTTTATTTCCATTGTTGGCACTATTTAAATGGTTACATTAGCATTCAGATTTAGAAGGAAAGCAAATTAACCTTATCTTTATGGTTAATGACTACCACTGTGCCCTTGTTTCAGATATATCTGGAAATGAGGAGAGTGATTCTTTTCTAGTCTTCCTTCAGAAAGTTGATACTGTAATTGAGAGCCTAGCTAATAGTAACTGTTGGTGTGGAAAGCTGGGCTTTGTGCTGGGTCAGCTTTTGGTCAGCCTTCTGTTCAACAGAAGAGACCCCAGTCTGGTGGGCAGACAGCTTGTGTGGCCATGGATGGCGTGTTGAGAGATGGGAGCTTTCAAAGCACAGCTTTCCTAAAAGAGATGAAAAGAGATTAAATGCTGTGTAGGCCTGTAAGATATATAGCTGCAAACTGAGTTTCATTTACAGTTATATATAGTACTCAGGGCACTTCCATAGACAATAGATAACAAAATCCAAGAGTATGTTCATCACCTCTTTGGACACAAAGCCCCTTAAAAAGAATGCTTGAGGACTTGCTGCTAGTAAGGGGAGGTTCTGCATGCTTACTCCCTTTCCAAACTTACAGGTAAGCTGTGGAAAATTACATGGATTGGAGAAGCCATTGCCCACAATGAAAAATAACCTAAAGTCACTCCACCGAACTGAGAGACCAGGAGTTACTCTGCAGAGAAGTAGTCAGCATTCAAGAGATTTGGGAATGAGAGAGACAAGAGAGAGGAGGCAGAACAGAAGGACCTACGTTGTAGGATTATTTGGAAGATTTAATAAGCTGATACGTGAAGAATGCTTAAAATACTGCAAGGAAGGAATACTCAAAAAATGTTATCTATTATTACTATTATAATTATTTCACAAGGATCCATGTAAGCAATGAAGAAACTGAGACTTTAAGAAGGGAAACAATTGATATTGTAGTTGTTTTCTGTCTCTGCTATGAACTTCCATTGTCTAAGAGCCTCAGCTCCAGACCCCTGTTGCCTAGCCCAGAGCCTCCAGCCTCAGAGCAAGCACACAGAGAAGGAAGGATGGAAACACAATGCCCTCAGCACTTCCACTTTCATTGATCTACAGTCCTGGGTCCCTGTTCTTTTAGGATTTATGCAATATTTTTTCCTGAAATCCATGACATGTCATAATATACAAATCCAAATTATTGGTAAATTGGAAATCTGCTGCTATTAGTAAGGTCTTGAGCCTTGTATTAGTATTTGAAATCACACTGCAGGTTGAAAGTTAATTAGAAAAAGAAATTTATGTAAGATATATAGAAAATCATATATTTGTATACACCTCCCTTATAAAAATTCAGTCAAAAGAGGTCAAAAGAGAAGTTTGTGAAGCATTTGAATAGAGCTTCTTTTTATCTTTTTTTCTCTCTCTCTTTCTTTCTTTCTCTCTCTCTCTTTTTTTTTTTTTTTAGAGTCATGGTCCCAGGAGGGAAGAACTCCTGGACTCAAAGTGATCCTTCCACCTCAGCCTGCAGAGTAGTAGTCTCACATTTGTTGTCAGTGTTTTCACACGGGTTGTTTTCAGTAACCTATTCCCATATTTCTTTCTTGGAGAGACCATTCATTTTCCAGAGTAGCCTGGAATACAGGCACATACCACCTCATCTAGGTTTTGAATGAAGCCTTTAAAAACTAAATAAATAAGAGAAAGAAGCAAAATACCAAAACAAGATGTGATTTCTGGAAAGTTCCTTGCTAATCAGTGTCCAAAAACCGGAACAGCTCTGGCTTAAGGGGCAAAGACTGATTTCCCTCAAAATGTGAACAAATGGTGCCACCCCAATTCAATGTGGAAGTCTGGGGGCCTCTGACTTCCTTTGGAGGATCCTGAGGAAATGTCATCAAATAATGCAAAGGTTGCCTTTGGCAGGATACTAACATTCCATTTACATCACAAAAGTCCACCTGATCCCAATCCAACCAGCAAACCACTCTCAACCCTAGGAAAACCAGAAAACAAAAGGATTTGAAAGAACCAATGTCTAGGCGGCATTTCCTAGAAAATCTGCAAAGATTAAATGCTTTCAACTAATTGGAAACCAGCCTGTTCCCAGATTTGATCTCCTTGGCTACATTTTCCAAATCACCCTGTGATGTATCCTTCTTCAGATTAGGAATCTGCTTTAATTTTCTACAGCCTTAGCTTTGATTGAAAAAATAAGGTTAGAGAAAGGGATAAATTAGATTCTTTTATGTTGTTGTTGCTGTTTTCATGAGAATATTTTTGTCTTTTATCTAGGAGTATGGTCTCTAGGACCCTTGGCATACTCTCATTTTCCAGTTCAAGGAACATCAACTCATAGCTCCATTAAAAAAAAAAATACAGGCACTGAAATTGGCCACGGTAGGGAAATTACACAGCCTAAAGACCATCTTTAGATGTAGGAGGTTTTCTATGAAAGAAATGTATCTACTGGTGATTTATAAACAAATAAGGCAAAAGGGTGCTAATCTGGAAATTCTGCTCTGTCACCAATAATTGTTCATGGCTATTCAGTCCACTGCATTGCCAATCTTGTGTAGGTAGAAATTTCCCACGATGTCAAAGACCTGTCAGTGGCACCACGTTAAAATCAAGACTCATCCAAGTAGCAGCTGATTCCCTTTTTACTGCTTATGTACGGTTCATTTCCTTCCCCGAGCCAAAGTGCCAAAGTCAATTTTCCCAGCTCATCTCCATCAGATCACAAGCTCTCCTTTGTCTCCTTTCTGGCTCCACTGAGCTCAGGCAGAGAAATCGATTCTCAAATTACTCCAACGATAAAATCTTTTTTCTGCTGGTAATTCTAGTGAAGTCTCACATTTGTTGTCAATGTTTTTGCACGTGTTGTTTTCAGTAACCTATTCCCGTATTTCTTTCTTGAAGAGACCATTCGTTTTTCTGTGCTTTTCTTCTTCTCCAAACCTCCCTTCACCTTTGAAATATATAACACATATTTCAAACAAGGGAATTTGATAAAAGAAATTTGATTATTCGGTGATGGCATAATTTAGAAGCTGATAAAAGAAAAACTTCAGACAAAACACATATAACAGAGTTTATTTAAGCAAAGAACAATTCATGAGTCAGGCCACCCTCAGAACCAGGAGAGGTTCAGAGAGCTCTTCTCTGCAACACAGGCAGTGAGTATTTAGAGAAAAGAAAAGGCTGAAGAAAGCAGAAACAAGGAACAACAACAACAAAAACAGTTCGGTCATTTCAAAGTAACTTCTCTTGTAAAGGTTATAGCAGAGGGTACTAGGGAACTTCCTTGTCATATTGGCTAAGACTGGCTGGTTTGGGAATTTGGCTACTCTCTCCGTCTGTTTATCCCTCCTTCTTTCCTGATTCCTGGGAAGACCAGACAAACAATTTCATTTCGGCTTAGTGACATGGAACTCTTTAGCATGAGTGACACCATTTGGTTTGGCCTACTTGGACCTAGTACAGAAGCACAGTCCAAATCAATGGCCTCCTATAAATGTTTTTTAAGAAAACCAAATAGGAATCAGTGAGGCACCCAGAGATTAGCAACACAGTAAACCACTACCACTCAAGGGTGGACACAGGATTGTCAGATCCCGAAAGCCAGCAAAACTGGAGCCACAGCAGCTTGTCCAGCAGGATATGGAGTCATGAAGGAGATAGAACCACTCCCGGAAATATTAGAGCAAGGGTGAGATACCCTGGCTCCTCTCTCCCACCCTCCAATCTCCCATCAGCCTCTTCCTAGCTGAACTCAGCTGGAAGCCTGAAAAATGCAGTTTACAAGGTCAGTTTATCCGTCATGCACAAAGAGGAGCAAGCAATGCATGTGAGAGCAAGAGGCTGGAAACTGACTGTCCCAGTCCCTAAAGCTCCACCTACCTAGACATAAAGGACATGCCTCAAAGCTCTCTTCCAACATGATCACTCCAAACATTGAACTAAAGTCAGAAATTGACCTTAGAACTAGACCAGGCCCCTTTTGACTCTAACATTCCATTGATTATTCATGTCTAAGACATGAACAAGTAGCCCTTGTTCATGTCGCCTATGCAAGAACACCTTTCATTTGGCATATTTACTGTCCTGTGCTGATCATATATTCCTTCGAAAAATATTTTCTTAGAATCTCCTAACCACAGTAATAGGTACTGTGGGAAAGAGAGAAGATGACAAGGGAGATTAGATAGTCCAAATAAATGACTAATGTAGGGTAATGGTTCACAAGATATCAAAAAGCAGTCGATGAGGAAAGCCAAATGAGCAGAATATACCATCAGAGGGCAAGCCTGGAAAAGAAGTTTTGGAAGAAGTGGGATTTTTGCAGGTTGTGGAGGATGCGTGGTATTTGGTTTGGCTGGGAATAGCAGTTCAGAAAGAAGTGCAGGCACCACGATTTGGAGGCAGAAATACACACATAATTCAACACCAGGAGCACACTATCATAAAGGGGAACAGGTTTATTTCTCAGATTCGGGGAATACTTGTTGAGATTCTTCTCTCTTTGGCCAAATGATTTTGATATGATAATCATGATGCCCTTTCAGTTGAGGTATTATTTGGTAGCATTTTGTTTATTAAAGCAAGCATGCCATAAGGCTTTCCAGTAAAATAGGGGCAGGTAGTATAAGACTGCAGTGGTTCTGGCTTTCCTTAATTGGGAAGAATTCAGTAATTTTTTAGACTTCCTGTTCTATTATTCAAATGTCACTGATTGACATGACATTTTAGAAAATTTTGCCCACAAATTCATCTGTTTTTACCTTATCTTATTTCCCCCTTCTTTAAAAGTCAACCTGCTTCCAGATATTAACATCTCCACAATACTTACGTTGTGCTAGGCTCTTGGCCAGTGGCAAGTACCTGGTTATATAATGATGATTTAAGTTCAATGTAACTAGAAGAACATGGCTATATTTACATCCTAGAGAAAACAGTCCTACATGGTGGTGAATATTTTGTGTCTTTTTTTTTGTTACACATTTACTTTATTCCTGATATCCAATACATAATCATTTAAGAATATTTACTGAGCAGATTAAATCAATGTGAAATATCGCCAAATCCAGTAGACACTATCCCGTATGTATTTTATGTGGCAATTCTGCAGCATTTGCACCTGTTGACCTTTCTCCTCTAAAGATGCTTCCCTCTTGGCTTCTGACACCATAGCCTAAGGGGTTCTCCTGTACTCTCTAGCCATTTGTTCTCAGCATTCTTCAAGGTCTCTCCTCTCTCTACTTGTATCTTAAATGGTGCACCCCAGGGATCTGGTCTTAGGGCTCTCCTCATCTTACCTTACACACCTCTCAAGGGACCCCACTCTCCACCCATGACTTCAACAACCCTTGCACACACTTATGACCCCCAAATTCGTAGCTCAAGCCCCAACTTTTCTCCTAAGATCCTTGCCAAAGTAGGCAACTGGTTTTGGGGTATCTTAAGCTGAATAGTAATTGAATGTCACAAGTAAGCTCTGTAGATTATACATCCTAAATATTTCTTTAACCCATCCATCTTCTTTATTCTCACCGTCATCATATTAATTAATTATCACTTTTTGCCTGCCTTTCCTGTTTCTTGTTTCTTGTTTCCCTCTCTCCAACCTTAATCTCTGTTAGTCTGACTGCTCCTAATCTTTGTGAAATTCAATGGTTATTTTATTCCTCTGAAATATTATGCTTTAAAACTTATGTAGCTGCCCCAAACTCCCCACCTCAACATTGCTGGGGTCTAGAGTAAGAGTAGAAATGGAGGTGCACATATTATGTACCTAAATATTTGAAATCTATAAATCCAGCTAACAAGCCATTAAATATGTTCTTTTTTTATCTTGAATAAACTTTCATAATGTGAAACGCTTGTTTCAGATTTAGCCTTCTCAGGCTCTGCAATGTTCTTTGCCAGTACTTGGCTGCACACAATGAGCCATCCCTAACCCAGAGTCCTCTTCCTTTATCCTCTCACCCCTGGCTTCATCCAGCACGTCAGGTGACTCATGTCCATATGTAGATATCCCGGTCTGCAATCTCACCCTCTGCCCACATTCCCCACAAACAGCTCTCCCTTCCCCACCCTTCAGGCCTAGCAGGTGCACACAAGTGTCCTCAGGAGGACAAGTCCAGGAAAGAGGCTGTGCAGAGTTAGAATTCCAGGATCCCAGGTATTCTGACCATGACCCAAAGGAAGGGTAACATGCTGTGGATGAATATATGCTCTGAGCCTTGCAAACTTCTCACCTCGTGTAGAAGGGACCTGATGAGACTCTGTAACATGATTTATACTTTATTTGAATTGTCTATTTCCTTATCTATCCCTCCCATTACACTGTGAGCTACTTAAAGGGACCGTGTCTTTCTTCTTTTTAATACTAGATCTTTTCTTTGGTAGTCTTCAAACTAGATTACACATATCTCTGGGGATACACAAAGATTGTCTAGGGTAAATGCAAGCACCTATATAATAATTTCAAGGGAATCAATTTTCAGTTGTTCAACTTTCATCTGCAGCATTTGCCCCTGCTTTTTCCTAAATCTTTTTCCTAAAATTAATCTGCCTGATAATTCACCAGTGTTTTTCTTTTTCTTGTGCCCTTCCACAGATGCCCTTCTCCTTTTTTACCATATAGAAACATACCCTTCTACCATCCCAAACCTTACTATTATGCATCATCCCAAGGAAAAGGTTAGTATATTACTCCAGGAAGTCAAGCAATGTTTGTCAATTTCCATAGTGTAAATATGCAATTTAAAGCTGCCACCATGCTATGGAATAATTTGTTTCCCCCTAAAATTCACCTGCTGAAGCCCTAACCCCCAGTGGCATTTGGAGATGGGGCCTTTGGTAAGCAATTAAGTTTAAATGAAGTCATAAAGGTGGGACCATCATGAAGGGATTAGTGCCCTTCTAAGAAAAATGAAGTCATAAAGGTGGGACCATCATGAAGGGATTAGTGCCCTTCTAAGAAAAGACACCATTGAGCTTGCTTCCACTCTCTGCCATGTGAGGACATAGCAAGAAGGCAGCTGTGTGCAAGTCAGGGAGAGAGCCCTCACCAGGAACCAAATCAATTCCTAGTCTGGTACTTCCCAGCCTCTGGAACTGTGATAAATAAATGTCTGTTGTTTAAGCCACTGATCTGTGGTGTTTTGTTACTGTAGCCCAAGAAGACTGAGACACTATGCTGGCTGATTTCAAGCTACCAATGTGATGTCACTTAACTCAGAGTTAAGAAGTCATAGCATAATTAACTCTTGCAAATTTACACACAACTGGCTATATTAAAACAAACATAAATAGGAGCGTTTTTAATAGCCATGTCAAGTACTCCATAACACAATGCAGGGGCAGAGATTCTTTGGAACTCCAGCTATATCACTTGTGAGCAAGCACTGCATCTTAATCAACTTACTTGAGCTTTCTGGATTTCCTCAACAGTATATTCTGCTTAATAGTATATATATTGCAGTATTATTTTGTGGAACATAAAAGGTTAAGAAGTGAAAATGCTTAGCACAATACCTGGCACAGGGAATCAGTAAATGTCAGTAGCCTTTCTCTTGGGTTTTCTCCCCTTTAAATGGCTGCCTATGAAGCTGGACTCAGCTAATTATGAAAGAAAAAGTCTACTGCTTCTTCCCCTCCTTCTCTGTCCTTCCCTTTCCTTCAGGTCCCTGTCCCAGTGTCCCACCCTGAGCATTAGGATCTCAGGCTCTTTCTGCAGGTAAGACTACCTGAAATAACATATCCATGGTATTGCCCAAAGGGCTCAGGCTTTGCATATTTCTATCTATCTCCTCCAAGCCAAAAGTCTGAAATCCTCTTACCATTTTTTCAGTGTAGCCATTTGGTTAAAAGATACTGTGTAAAATGAGATCATTCACTGTTATTTCTTAAGGCGGATAGGCATGGATGGAAACACACAAGGGAAACTAGATATGCACATGCCATAATTTTTTGACTGGCCTTGGTAGTCTTGTTGCACGAAAGGAAAGTACAAGACTAGACATTGGACTTCCCTTAAGTAAAGAAATAAGCTGGTCATGGCGAAATGTTATAATACAACATTGTTGTATTGATTTACTATTGAGCCACAGGTTGGCAAAATTAAAGAGCTATGTGTAAAAAGAGCTGATAACAGACTTTGAAATGGGTTATACATTCCCTAAATCATAAGGGTTTAAATAATAAGGTATTTCGGTACCCTGAAGTTATAACTGTTTATCTAGAAGGTGACACTTAGCCCTCTCAAATTGGAGAAAAACATTCCCTCCAGAACACTGTAATGGGAAAAAGACAAACACCAGCATCACTGCTTACCAGCCATAAAACTCAGACAAGCTATTTAATATCTCTAAAGCCTTAATTTTCTATTATAAATAATAATATATAAAAGAAAGATAATAGTACTTACAAATAAAAGCTAATGTTTAGCAGGTGTCGGGCACTATTGTAAGGACTTCGTATGCATTCAATAACTTATCCTCCTGAGAATTCAGTGAGGTAGGTGACTATTACCAACTCGTTTTGTAGATGGAGAAACAGACATTCAGCAACTTTATCAAGATCACACCAGTGTTCTTGATAAAGACTTAAGCAACTTTATCAAGATCACACCAGTGTTAAGCAACAGAGCCAAGATTTTAACACAACCTCCAGAAACAAATTTATTATTAAGCTATATTGCCTCTCCTAAGCCTATTAAGGTATTCTAAATGATAAAATGAGAAAACCCATAGCAATTTTTAGCAACATGCCCATAGCCCTATTCTCCAGGGTCTCCAGTCTGTACTCCCAGGGACATCATTCATGCTGTGTTCTCAGGAGTGCAACACAGACAGAAAGGACATCCAGAATGGTGCTGTGCAAAGCAGCTACCCATACTGAGTAATGATGATTTAATCAGATTACATAAGCCTGTCATTGTCTTTGCTGAAATGTCATCCCTCCACAACAAGGCATGTTATACATATAAATCACCCAGAAGACATTTCTTTTTCTTTTTTTTTTTTTTTTTTTTTTTGAGACAGAGTCTTGCTCTGTCACTCAGGCTGGAGTGCAGTGGTGTGATCCTGGCTCACTGCAACCTCCACCTCCTGGGTTCAAGCAATTCTCATGTCTCAGCCTCCCGAGTAGCTGGGACTACAGGCACCTATCACCATGCCCGGCTAATTTTTGTATTTTTAGTAGAGACAAGGTTTCACCATATTGATCAGGCTGGTCTCAAACTCCTGACCTCAGGTGATCCACCTGCCTCGGCCTTCCAAAGTGCTGGGATTACAGGCGTGAGCCACTGCGCCCAGCCCAGAACTTTTAAGAACATATGCAACTGGAGTAGGAAAGGTGGACTCCAGAAGGGACACCAAAGTGCCAGACACCGTGTCATCCTGAGGTGGTCAAATAGTATCCTGCCTCAGGTCATCATAGTGAGCTTAAAGGAGCTCTGGAGGATATTTTACATGATAATCATGATCCTCTCCATCTACAGAATGCCGCATGAGCTACTAATTGGAGGAAGTTAACAGTTTCAACATTAGATCATGCTACATTCTTTTGGATGACATTAAATCTTCGTGAAGCTGGATGTTCCACAAATACTGTGATAAAAAAGCAAGTGGTGCTGGAAAATCAATGTAGAACAGGAAGTGAGAGCAGCAATGTCCAATCTGATTTTGTCTGAGAAATTTATCAGTGCCCAATAGACACATACCTCACATTGGTAAGAAACTGTGGTTAAGAATGAAACGTATATTTTTAATTTCAGTGCACATATATTATCTTTTAAAGAAGCCACTAAGTTGTTAGGACAAAAATATGTATTAAGTTACATGGACCTAACTACTTAATAAATGGAACTCTTGGGTACTTCTTTTGGCTTGAGACCCTGAGGGCTTCATGAACTGAGAACATCTGGGAACATCTGCTGCATCCCTTTATGTGCATTATCTCTTGTAATCCTTGCAGCAACCTAACGGAGCAGGTACTGTTCATGTCTATAATTTACAAATAAGGGAACTGAGGACTCCGGCAGTAACAGGGCTAAGCAAAGATCACAAAATGCATCTGTTGTTCAAGCACAGCCTTCTGACTCTGAAGCCACCACTCTTTAATGATTATACCATAGGCCAAATAACAGATACTTTTGTCCAGGTAGACTTTCGGACAAAGAAGGTTACTTCCTCACAGAGTTGAATCTGACCCCAACATATATCAGCATATGTTTTCCTACCATCTTGTCAAAGGACATATTAGCTCAGGCTCTCAAAGCCATTTGTTGAAATAACCACTTTGCAGAAATCACAGGTTCTAAAGCTCCTGAAAACTGTGTGTGCTCTAGATGAAAGTCACCTTGCATCCAAGCGAACAAAGAAAATCAAAGACTTTCTGAATTGGCGGCTTGGGTTCATCAACTCTATCAACTTGCTTAACAAACATTACCAAGTACACAGGCTCCTGTCTGAAGGAGTCTCTATGGATATCCCAGATAAAATAGCTGAATTTGGTAAACTGTTCCAAAAGCAACATGACCTATCCATTTTTGACATGTCTGTAAAATCTGAAATACAGTGAAGCTATTACAAGCTAACACAGAATGGGAGCTAAAGCTACAAATAATCTCTAGAAAGCTAACAGCTGAAGCAGTGGCCAGCAACCTGTGGGGCATATGATTTTGAACTGGGATTCTGCCAGTCTTAGGGAGCTGTAGATAGATAGACTTAGTTGAAGGTCCTTTAGTGGTCTTTGGATAAAATGAGTCCTTGTTTCTCTGTCTGAGCCCCTGCAGTTACAGGTTCCTCCAGAGGAAGCAAACATAGTTATAACTCTGAAGAGCAGACCATTGACAAATTGACATCACTCTATTTATTTCTACCTCTATCATCCTTGTTTGACATCAGCTTCTATCTCAACCCAACATGCCACAGTCCTTCTTGGAAAATCTTCCAAGAAAATATACTTCTTGGAAAAAATTATATTTTTTTCTTCTTGGAAAATATATATATTTGTTTCTCTCTCTCTCTCCCTCTCTCTCTCTCTCTATACACACACACACACACACACACACACACACACACACACATATATATGTGTGTGTGTGCAAATATGGCAAATCATTCTCCAAATGAACTACAAAGCTTTCAGATAGATAGACGTTGATTTTAAGGTGTTGGCACTTGAAATTGTGGAGGCTTGGTGAGTCCAAAATCTGATGGGCAGCCCAAAACACTAGAGACTTAGGAAACAGTTGCAATTTGAGTCCAAAGGCAGTCTTCCAGGGAATTCCCTCTTTCTTTGGAAGCGGTAAAGGAGGTTAGCCTTTTATTTATTCAGACCTTCAGCTAATAGAATGAGGCCCATCCACATCATGGACAGCAATCTGCTTTACTCAAAGCCCACAAATTGAAATGCAAATCTCATCCAAAAATGCTCTCGAAACATCCAGAATAATATTTGACAAGATATCTGGTCACTGAGGCCCAGATAAGTTGACACATAAAATCAATCATCACAACTACTACAGACTAGAAGAGACAAGAGCAAATTAGTAACTGTTAGTAGATTCTGGGAACTTCAGGGAAGAGCCTACGAAGAAGTTCTGAGAACAGATCCATGCATAGCCCCTGCCTAAGACTATACTCCCTGGCTAATACACTAGTTGTGGGTGAGAACGTGAGGGAGATTGTTAACGATGTCAGGAGGCAGGCTGCTGACTTTAAATAAATTCATTAGAGAAATGTACAGCCGAAGGCATCAGCACATCACACACCTCTTGTGCTCCACTTCCAAGTCCTCCTGATCCGCTCCATCTCTTATTCCAGCTGCTGCTATGGCAACTAGGGCAGCACAGTCTGGCCAGATTCAACAAGGACAAGAGAACAGAGCCTCTGCTTGGGCCTGCATGGCATACCTCTTCCTCCTATCTGGAATTTCTGTGGCATCCCAGGGCGGGCTACTCAGAAAAACATACTTGGAACTCACATGTGTACACATAAGGAATGAGAGAAAAATTAATGCCCTTGGAGCCAGCCTTGGCCAGTGGAGAATGCGCTCCCAGACACATTTCATAAGTGTCCCCAGAAGGAAGAGTCACCTGTAACAGTGGCCAAAATTTTCTCCTGTGTTATTTCACTTCCTCCCTTGCATTCCTGCTCCCTAGGATTGTGTTCCCAAGTAAACCACCTGCCCTGCCATTCTTAATTTCTGGCTCTGTTCTTACATCCAAATCAGAGAGTGAAAAAAATCTTTCCATTTGCAAGGGAGGATTTAAGTTAAGCATTATAGTCTATTGCTTATCAAATAATAGGTTGAACATTATTTTATCTTATGGCACAAAACTGTATTTGGACAAAGAGTACATGGGAAGCTGGTGAGACTCAAATATAAATAAGTTTTAAAAATCTGTTGTTTGTAATCACACCACTGCACTCCAGCCTGGGTGGCAGAGTGAGACTCTCAAAAAAAAAATCAATTGTTTCTGAAATACATTGAACTACATTGGCCTCTTCTCACTCTTTATCTGGCCAAATGGCTCCCTTGATTTAAGAGATTTCCAGGAACTCAGAGATGTTCCTAATGATTAATTGATTGCTGAAAGACATATTAGAAAGCATATTCTTTATTTCCACAAATCCCCACCGAAGGCTATAATTATAATTATTTATTAAAGATCCAGAAAAGTAGATTTTAAAATACATTTTAGAGATTAGGAAAATAGATAGCAAATAGCCTAAAATATAAAAACTATTGATAGAGTCAGAGATGGCCAAGTAATATTCACTCATTCATTTATTCACTCCTTAATTCAATATTGCACCAGGTACAATGCAAGCAGAGGGGGGAAGACATGGGACTCTCCCAGGAACCTCGGAAATAGCTGAAAGGTTCCCAAGTTTAGCATGATTCTTGTGGAGCTGCCAATCACAAAACACTATTCTCTGACCACAGGGAGATGGTTAGGTGACACAGCCGGACCATTCTCCTGGCCAAAGAATTGGTTCAGAGGCAGGCATGTGACAAGTTGACCAATCAGAGAATCTGCTCAGGGTTTTCCAGGTTGAAGGGGTCTTGACTTTTGTGTCACAGAGTTAAAAGACCTTCTTCCTTGCCTTGTGAAAAAAATTTGCTGGCAAGAGGAGAAAATGAACATGAACAAGACAAGCAAGAATAAGAAAGAAACGGAGTTTTTTCAAAATGTTTAAATATCTGCGCCTTCTAAGCCTGAAGCCTGCTACTCCAATTCTTTTCAGTTGCAAGTTCAAAAATCCATGTTACACTTATGATAAAATTGGTTTTTTATTAATTCCAATTAAAAGGAAACTTGCAGTATCCTATGGAAAAAATTAACTGCCATGAGGAACATTTTTTCTCTTCTTCTATGAGGGGAGGTATTTTCCAAATACTCCTGGCCGCCCTGTCTTTTTTCACTTCATCTCAGAGGACATAGACTAACTCATCTTATCTGTAAATTTGAGAAGAATAAACAGAGCATGCTCAGTTTAGCTACTTTCTTTTGTTCTCTTGAGAGCAAGCTTCCTGCAGTGGGGGGAATTTCCCAGCCTCTCTGCTGCAAGTTTCACCCGAGTAGGCCTTCCTCAGTCAAGGCCAGCCTGGTCCAGGACTGCCATGACTCCACTGGGGGATAGAGGATGTTTAATCTCATTAATTCTGGGATTCAGTAATAGTAGGATTACTTTCCTACCAAGAGAACCATATCCTCCAATCTACCCTTTGAAATAATAATAATAACAATAATAGCTAATACATACTGCTTACTACACACCAGGCATTTTTTTCTCCTCTTGGAACTTTAAGTGCTTTACATATAAATGTATTTAATCCTTACAGCGATCAGTTGTAGACATACTCTTGTGACCCTCATTTTACATTGAAGAAAATGAAACACAGAGAGTGGAAGTAATTTTCCCTAAGATGACACAGCCGGGAAGCAGCATGCCTGAGATTCAAATGTAGTCCGTGTGGTCCTAGAGTCCAGGCTCTAACCACTATTCCATGTATCACATGCGCTAAAGGAGTTACACTTGATATACTAGTTAACCTTCCATTTGCCTTCCTCTTTTATCTTTAATCTCAGTTTGTTCAAAGGATACTCTTTACAGGGCCCTCTTAAAATTCCCAACGCCCATCTAATCAAAGGCTCAGGGTAATTCCTCCATTGAAGCTATACCTGAAGAAAAGGTTATACTACCTAATACTATAATTCAGCAAATACTAATCAGTTTCCATTTAATCTATATCATATTTATAGTATGGGAGACCTACACTAGCCAGGAAAATTCGACTTCATAGGCCACAAATTATTTTTCTTGATCAACAAAAAAAGTCAGCTCTGCAGTTTTCCTTAGTGGGCTTTAAAAGTTTCACTGCTGATTTTTATGGTGCCTGTCATAAAGTTTTGAAGACTTTAACATACACAGTGTGATGTTACGCATGCACCAGTTAGTCGAGCTTCAATCTGAAGCAGTCAGTTGCCCTAAGGGAGCCTGGACAGCTTAGGGACCATCAGTTAGGAATATAGAGAAAGGCTACCACCAGCCTCTCCAGTCTCCCTCAGGGCAAAATGGGCATTTTCTTTAGTCCTCAAATGAATCTGTAACTTGTAAAGAAGTTTTAAGTCCTGAAAGTACAAATATGAAGAAGTTAGGGCAGATTTCCTTCCCTCAGGCTGGAAAGACACATAACTCACTATATAGGCTGGTCTTCCCTCAGAGACTTGACTGAATGCCTGTTGAAGAGGATTGCCTTATCATGTGATCTTTTCCTAAGGCCAGAACCTGAAACATCACAGAGTGCCAATTGAAGGAACAGCCGATAAATTCTCTAATTCAACACTGTGTTCAAATGGAACTCCTGCAGATCTATGACTCTCCTCACCCCACTAGTGACACCTTTATGTTTCATTTAATAACAAACACCAGGAGAGGAGGTATGTGACAATCCTCAAAGTGTAGTTAGTTGGGCCCTTGATCATTGCCTTACCTGCAAGACTGTGAGGCAAAAGCAGAGTCACAATATTCCTAGGAAATTTCTTTGAACTAATAGTGTGAGGAAGGGAGAATAACAATCCCCCCAGATGCGTCCACACCCTGATCCCCAGAACCTGTGAGTATGTGAGGTTGCATGGCATAGAGGGACTGAAGGCTGCAGATGGAATTAAGGTTGTTAATCCAATGACCTTGTATTCTGAGTTATCCAAGTGGACCCAATGTAATCCCAGGGGTCCTTATAAGTGGAAGAGGGAGACGAAAGAGGGAGAACCAGAGATATGGCAATGTGAGGACTCAGCCTGTTGCCAGCTTTGAAGATGGAGGAATAGGGCCATGAATCAAGGGGCAAAGGCAGTGTCTAGAAGCTGAAAAACACATAAAAACAGATTTCCCCTAGGGTCTCCAGAAGGAACAGAGCCCTGCTATGATTTTAGTCATGTGAGACCCATTTTAGACTTCTGACCTCAAGAACTGTAAGGTAATAAGTTTATGTTTTTCTAAGCCACTACATTTGTGACAATTTGTAACTGCAGGACTATAATACTCATATACAGGGTAAAAAGAAATGAGGAAACATGAAATGCTGGTTCTTCTCCACCCACCCCCAACAGCCATGCTCTACATTTTCTGCACTGTTATGTACAGGGAGTGGAGGTGGCTGACCACAAGGACTGCACACCCAGGCTCCCTTGCCTTCTGGCTTCTGGGATATCTGACAGTGAGTAGAGAAAGGTGCCAGGGTATTTCTTCCCTGAGTCTCTTTCGACTTTGACACTGTGATCCTTTCAGGGACTGCACCCCCAACTAAGACTGCAGTTCCTGCTGGGCAGCCTTTGTCCACAATGCAGCCACCAGGCTCTAGTCACACTCCCTCCTTTTCATGCCCCTCAGGCTTGGAGTTGGTGTTGACTTCATGTGGAGCTAGACTCAAGTAGCCAAATATATTGTGTGTCTGTGTATATTGTCTGTGTATATCTCTGGGGGAAAAAAATAAAAGCTCTATGTGAAATTCTCTATGAAATTCTCTTTAGTTAAATCTCTTTTTTAGGACATTGTCAGAACCCTGATGTATATGTGTAAGGTAATATATTTCCTCTAGGCTATTGGCTTATTTCCTTAGAGGCTTCTGTTAATAATATTCTTGACTTTCTAACAAGACTACAGGTGACTCAAAGCCCAGACCATCTATTTCTTTGTGATTCCCTATAGCATCAGCACAGGAGTAAAATGCCCTTGTATTTAATAAATGTTGAATTAACTCACAATATGGTTAAAAGTCAAGTAAAATATTCAAATGGTAAACTGGAAAAACTTTAGAAACAGGGTTGTTTTCTATCCAAGATGACAGGACATTCTGAGGCAGTGCCAGACACAGTCAGCCCCTCATATTCACGGGTTCCACATCTGTGGACACAGCCAACCATAGGAGGAAAATATTTGGAAAAAAAATTGTGTCTGTACTGAACAGGTATAGATGTTTTTTTCTTGTCATTATTCCCTAAATGTTACAATATAACAACTATTTACATAACATTTATATTATATTAGGTATTGTAAGTAATCCAGAAATGATTTAATGTATATGGGAGGATGTGCATAGGTTATATGCAAACACTACACCATTTTATATCAGGGACTTAAGCATCTGTGGATTCGGGTATCCAAGGAAGGTCCTGGAACCAATGATCCATGGATACTGATGGACAACTGTATATATAAATGGTCTAAGTATGTGCAGAATCAAGCACCACAAAATGAATATGTCATAGAAGTAATGTGAGAAGCGGAAGGTATGAGCCACAACCATTTCTTCTTTAACAATGTTTATGGCAGGAAGGAGTATTAATAAGACTAAAGATAACTCTATGATGAAAGGGTCATTCACTTGCATGGCCCCTTTCAGGGCCCTGAGAGAAATCTAGAAATTTGTTCATATAGTCACACATATTCCATTCACAAAAGTAAGATATGTTAATGGCAATCAGTAAAGACCATTGTCTTAACTTGGTGTAGTCCAGTGTAGAGTGTCAGAGCCCAAGCAGGAAAAAGAGGGCATCCCAGGGGAGAAGTGGCCTAGTAAGGGTGTCACAGCACAAGTAGGGTAGAAGGACATCCATGTGGGAGTGGGACCAGGCACAGAGAACCAGAGGCTGGGAGAGATGAAAAGGTGTCCACACAAGAGGATTGCCAACTGTGAGGGGTTGGAGCCCCAGCAGGGTGAGAAGGGTGATGGAGGGTGGGAGGAGCAGCAGCAGTAGAAGACAGGTTACACACAGAGAAATCAATTACTTCCTGTATTAATCAGAACCAGCAGGAGAAACACACACATACACACACATATATGTATACATGTGTATATGGCGGAAGAGATGCACCAGAGAGAGATATTTGTTCTAAGAAACTGGCTGATGTGATTGTAGTAACCTGACAGGGCCTTCCTGCCAGCTGTACAGACAAAATCAGTTCACTAAGAACACAGTATTGCAGTAAAGAAAGAGTTTAATTAACACAAGGCTGGCCACATGGGAAAATTGGAGTTATCACTCAAATCAGGCTCCCTGAAGGCTCAGAGGTTCGGGTTTTTCAAGGATAGTTTGGTGGCACGGGGACTAGGAAATAGGTGCTACTGATTGGTTGGGGATGTAATCACAGGGGTGTGGAAAACGGTCTTTGTGCACTGAGTCTGCCTCTGAGTAGGGGGCCACCATCATGTGCCCTGGTGGGGTTAGTCAATTACCAGAATGCAAAAGATTGAAAAACATCTCAAAAGACCAATCTTAGGTTCTACAATAGTGATACTATCTATATGAACAATTGGAGAAGTCACAAATCTTATAACCTCTGGAACAATGACTGGTCATTGTTTAACTGTGCCTATATCTTAGCAGAATTCAGGTGTCTCTCATAATCCTAAACTTGTGTACTTTCATTAGTTTTACAAAGGCAGTTTAGTTTTGGGAAGGGCTCTTATTAACCTTGCTTTAAACTATAAACTAAATTCCTCCCATGGTTAGCCTGGCCTACTCCCAGGAATGAGTGAGGACAGCCAGCCATGTTAGATTTCTCTCACTGTCATAATCTTTTCAAAGGTAGTTTCATGATGATGGAGGCTGAGTCCCACTATCTACCAATTGCAAGCTGGAGACCCAGAGAAGCCAGTGATGTAATTCAGTCTGAGTCTGAAGACCTGAGGACCAAAGGAGCTGATGCTGTAAATCCCAGGCCATGAGCTGGAGAACATGAGATAAGATGTTCCAGCTCAAGCAGTGAGGCAGGAAATTAAGCAGTGAATTACTCCTTACTCTGCCTTTTGTTCTATTCAGGTCCTCAAGGACTGAGTGATGCTCAGCCACATTGAGGAGGGCAATCTACTTTATTGAGTCCATTGATTCAAATGTTAAATTCATTTGGAAACAATCCTATAGACACACCACAAGCAAAATTAAATCAAGGCACCCTGTGGTGCTGTCAAACTGACATATAAAATAAACCATCACACTTAGCAAATAAGTAATTATATTAAAGAAAATATAAGCTACTTTTGTTACTGTCAGAGACCCATACAAAAATGTTCAGGAAGGGCATCTTTGCTTATCATAGCTAAGACAGATTATGTATTGCTTAAATAGCCACACCTCTATAACTTCCATTCCCACTAAGAAGTAAAGTCTATTTCTCCTTTCCTTGATCCTGGGCAGGACTCTATGACCACTTTGACAAAGAAAATGCTCTGGAAATGCTGGAAGTGCTGCTGTGACTTCTGAGGAGAGGTCACAGAAGGCAGAATGGCTTGTGATTGGCTGTCTTTCTTTTTTGGGATATTAGCACTTGAAACCCAGCCACTGTGCTGTAGGGAACCAAAGCCACTTAAAGAGGTTGTTTGAATTGCCTGGCCAACAACTCCAGCCAAAGTCTCAGCTAACTGAAAGCATCAACCAACAGACATATGAATGTGTGAGCCTTCAGAAGACTCCAAGTCCGAGACTTGGAGACATTCCAGCCAATGCTGAATGGAGCAGAGATAAGCCATCCCCACTAAGCCCTGCCCCAGTTGCGGATTCATGAGCAACATAAATGATATTTTAAATCACTTTTATGCAGCCATACATAGTAACTGTAACAATACTAAAAACAAGAAAACAGCCCAAATAATCATCAGCAAGAAAACGGATAAACATTAAATGTAAATGGACTAAATGCTCCAATTAAAAGACACAGACTGGCAAACTGGATAAAGAGTCAAGACCCATCAGTATGCTGTATTCAGGAAACCCATCTCACGTGCAGAGACACATATAGGCTCAAAATAAAAGGATGGAGGAAGATCTACCAAGCAAATGGAAAACAAAAAAAGGCAGGGGTTGCAATCCTAGTCTCTGATAAAACAGACTTTAAACCAACAAAGATCAAAAGAGACAAAGAAGGCCATTACGTAATGGTAAAGGGATCAATTCAACAAGAAGAGCTAACTATCCTAAATATATATGCACCCAATACAGGAGCACCCAGATTCATAAAGCAAGTCCTGAGTGACCTACAAACAGACTTAGACTCCCACACATTAATAATGGGAGACTTTAACACCCCACTGTCAACATTAGACAGATCAACAAGACAGAAAGTTAACAAGGATACCCAGGAATTGAACTCAGCTCTGCACCAAGTGGACCTAATAGACATCTACAGAACTCTCCACCCCAATTCAACAGAATATACATTTTTTTCAGCACCACACCACACCTATTCCAAAATTGACCACATACTTGGAAGTAAAGCTCTCCTCAGCAAATGTAAAAGAACAGAAATTATAACAAACTATCTCTCAGACCACAGTGCAATCAAACTAGAACTCAGGATTAAGAATCTCACTCAAAACCACTCAACTACATGGAAACTGAACAACCTGCTCCTGAATGACTACTGGATACATAACGAAATGAAGGCAGAAATAAAGATGTTCTTTGAAACCAACGAGAACAAAGACACAACATACCAGAATCTCTGGGACACATTCAAAGCAGTGTGTAGAGGGAAATTTATAGCACTAAATGCCCACAAGAGAAAGCAGGAAAGATCCAAAATTGACACCCTAACATCACAATTAAAAGAACTAGAAAAGCAAGAGCAAACACATTCAAAAGCTAGCAGAAGGCAAGAAATAACTAAAATCAGAGCAGAACTGAAGGAAATAGAGACACAAAAAAACCTTCAAAAAATCAATGAATCCAGGAGCTGGTTTTTTGAAAGGATCAACAAAATTGATAAACCGCTAGCAAGACTAATAAAGAAAAAAAGAGAGAAGAATCAAATAGATGCAATAAAAAATGATAAAGGGGATATCACCACCGATCCCACAGAAATACAAACTACCATCAGAGAATACTACAAACACCTCTATGCAAATAAACTAGAAAATCTAGAAGAAATGGATAAATTCCTCGACACATACACTCTCCCAAGACTAAACCAGGAAGAAGTTGAATCTCTGAATAGACCAATAACAGGATCTGAAATTGTGGCAATAATCAATAGCTTACCAACCAAAAAGAGTCCAGGACCAGATGGATTCACAGCCGAATTCTACCAGAGGTACAAGGAGGAACTGGTACCATTCCTTCTGAAACTATTCCAATCAATAGAAAAAGAGGGAATCCTCCCTAACTCATTTTATGAGGCCAGCATCATTCTGATACCAAAGCCTGATGGAGACACAACAAAAAAAGAGAATTTTAGACCAATATCCTTGATGAACATTGATGCAAAAATCCTCAATAAAATACTGGCAAACTGAATCCAGCAGCACATCAAAAAGCTTATCCACCATGATCAAGTGGGCTTCATCCCTGGGATGCCAGGCTGGTTCAATATACGCAAATCAATTAATGTAATCCAGCATATAAACAGAACCAAAGACAAAAACCACGTGATTATCTCAATAGATGCAGAAAAGGCCTTTGACAAAATTCAACAACCTTCATGCTAAAAACTCTCAATAAATTAGGTATTGATGGGATGTATTTCAAAATAATAAGAGCTATCTATGACAAACCCACAGCCAATATCATACTGAATGGGCAAAAACTGGAAGCATTCCCTTTGAAAACTGGCACAAGACAGGGATGCCCTCTCTCACCACTCCTATTCAACATAGTGTTGGAAGTTCTGGCCAGGGCAATTAGGCAGGAGAAGGAAATAAAGGGTATTCAATTAGGAAAAGAGGAAGTCAAATTGTCCCTGTTTGCAGATGACATGATTGTATATCTAGAAAACCCCATCGTCTCAGCCCAAAATTTCCTTAAGCTGATAAGCAATTTCAGCAGTCTCAGGATACAAAATCAATGTACAAAAATCACAAGCATTCTTATACATCAACAACAGACAAACAGAGAGCCAAATCATGAGTGAACTCCCATTCACAATTGCTTCAAAGAGAATAAAATACCTAGGAATCCAACTTACAAGGGATGTGAAGGCCCTCTTCAAGGAGAACTACAAACCACTGCTCAACGAAATAAAAGAGGATACAAACAAATGGAAGAACATTCCATGCTCATGGGTAGGAAGAATCAATATCGTGAAAATGGCCGTACTGCCCAAGGTAATTTACAGATTCAATGCCATCCCCATCAAGCTACCAATGGCTTTCTTCACAGAATTGGAAAAAACTACTTTAAATTTCATATGGAACCAAAAAAGAGCCCGCATCACCAAGTCAATCCTAAGCCAAAAGAACAAAGCTGGAGGAATCACACTACCTGACTTCAAACTATACTACAAGGCTACAGTAACCAAAACAGCATGGTACTGGTACCAAAACAGAGATATAGATCAATGGAACGGAACAGAGCCCTCAGAAATAATGCCGCATATCTACAACTATCTGATCTTTGACAAACCTGAGAAAAACAAGCAATGAGGAAAGGATTCCCTATTTAATAAATGGTGCTGGGAAAACTGGCTAGCCATATGGAGAAAGCTGAAACTGGATCCCTTCCTTACACCTTATACAAAAATCAATTCAAGATGGATTAAAGACTTAAACGTTAGACCTAAAACCATAAAAACCCTGGAAGAAAACCTAGGCTTTACCATTCAGGACATAGGCATGGGCAAGGACTTCATGTCTAAAACACCAAAAGCAATGGCAACAAAAGACAAAATTGACAAATGGGATCTAATTAAACTAAAGAGCTTCTGCACAGCAAAAGAAACTACCATCAGAGTGAACAGGCAACCTACAAAATGGGAGAAAGTTTTCGCAACCTACTCATCTGACAAAGGGCTAATATCCAGAATCTACAATGAACTCAAACAAATTTACAAGAAAAAAACAAACAACCCCATCAAAAAGTGGGCAAAGCACATGAAGAGACACTTCTCAAAAGAAGACATTTATGCAGCCAAAAAACACATGAAAAAATGCTCACCATCACTGGCCATCAGAGAAATGCAAATCAAAACCACAATGAGATACCATCTCACACCAGTTAGAATGGCAATCATTCAAAAGTCAGGAAACAACAGGTGCTGGAGAGGATGTGGAGAAATAGGAACACTTTTACACTGTTGGTGGGACTGTAAACTAGTTCAACCATTGTGGAAGTCAGTGTGGCGATTCCTCAGGGATCTAGAACTAGAAATCCAGCCATCCCATTACTGGGTATATACCCAAAGGACTATAAATCATGCTGCTATAAAAACACATGCACACGTATGTTTATTGCGGCACTATTCACAATAGCAAAGACTTGGAACCAAGCCAAATGTCCAACAATGATAGACTGGATTAAGAAAATGTGGCACATATACACCATGGAATACTATGCAGCCAGAAAAAATGATGAGCTCATGTCCTTTGTAGGGACGCGGATGAAATTGGAAATCATCATTCTCAGTAAACTATCACAAGAACAAAAAACCAAACACCGCATATTCTCACTCATAGGTGGGAATTGAACAATGAGAATACATGGACACAGGAAGGGGAACATCACACTCTGGGGCCTGTTGTGGGGTGGGGGGAGGGGGGAGGGATAGCATTGGGAGATATACCTAATGCTAGATGACGAGTTAGTGGGTGCAGCGCACCAGCATGGCACATGTATACATATGTAACTAACCTGCACATTGTACACATGTACCCTAAAACTTAAAGTATAATAATAAAAAAATTAAAAAATTAAAATAAGAAAAGAAAACGGATAAACAAATGATGGTATATCTATGCAATGAAATAATAGACAACAATGAAAAGAAATGAATTACTGATACATGCAATAACATAGATAAACCTCAGAAGCATTCTGCTGAGTAAGAGTCCAGACACATAAGAATATGTATACTCTATGACTCCATTTACAAGAAGGTCTAAAAGCAGCAAAAATAATCTATGGTGAAACAAAATACTGGTTGACTTTTCAGGGGGAATGTCTTGGGGTTGACTGGGAAGAGAACATAAAAGATCTTTGTAGAGTGTTGGAAACATTTTATATCTTGACAGAGATAGAGGTTACATCAGTTCATGCCGTTCTCAACACTCATATAAGTATACACACAATATCTGTGCATTTCACTATATGTAAACTGTATTTTAACTTTAAAATTTTTTTGTGCTATCACCAGTGACAATTTGTAAGACAGAAAGAAACCTTTCTAAACTATAAATGGTAAATTTAAAAAAAATTCAATTAACCATGCTAGAACCTGAGACATCTTTCTGTTCTCGCTATACAAAATTGTTATCATATGAAGATGCAGTTAGATGTATGTAGTCAAAAATGTAGATTAAAAAGTTCTTATAGAGGTGTGTCAGGCAGTTAATATACATATGTTATTTTCTGGAGTTTGTGACGTTCGTGGTATTAGCTTTGAAAGTTTGTGTACTTGGCTATTTCTTACTGTAAATAAATATTCGTTTTTAGATCTAATTTTGAATTAGTAATTTTAAATTATTTTTCTCAAAGAGGATCACCCAAATGGCATAAGCTTTAGGTCCACAAAATCAGAATCCATTCCTGTTTCTGTTTAATATACATCTTCTCAACATCATCCTAGTCTTGACTATATAATTGATTGATTTTTCCACCTCAAAGAAGGCTGCTTTTACAAAATATCAGACTCAGAACATAAAGTAGCAGCCAATTGCAGAAGATCAAACCTTAAATAAAGACCAGGTCTATTTTCTCATTCACTTGTTCTCCAAGCAGCATACTTAATCCACCATTCCCTTTTCCTTGCCCTTTATTGCTCTTCTTTCTTTTCTCTCTTTTTTTCTTCTCTACTTTCTCTTTCATTTTCTTGATTTCTCTTACCTTCCCCCCCTCCTTTCTTCATTGCTCCCTCCCTTTTTCATCATCTTGATCTCTACCTCCACTATGTAGTCACATTTTAGACACTAAGAGACCTGGCATAGAAAATGGTCTTATAGAATTGAAATGGTTTAGAGCTTGCATCAAATATGCAAAATCACACTTTGCCAAAGTAAAAGGTGCAGAAGAAGGTGGAAGGAAGGAAGGAAAAAGTTGAATTTTAATAATAACTGAAAGTTGAAAGAAAGGCAGAAAGGAAGAAGGAAGAGAGAGAAAGAAAGAGAAAAGAAAGAAAGAAAGAAAGAGAGAAAGAAAGAAAGAAAGAAAGAAAGAAAGAAAGAAAGAAAGGAAAGAAAGAAAGAAAAAGGGAAGGAAGGGAGGGAAGAAGGGAAGGTAGAAGGGAAAAGAGAGAGAAAGAAAGGAAATAAAGAGAAAGAAAGAAAGAAAGAAAGAAAGAAAGAAAGAAAGAAAGAAAGAAAGAAGGAAAGAAAGAAAGAGAGAAAATAAAAGAAAGAAAGAAAGGTTAATTCTTATGAGTTTGGCTAAAAAAAGAAGGAAGGAAGGAATGAAACTGAAGGAGGGAGAGACAGAGAGAAGGAGGAAAGAGGGAAGGGAAGGGAAGAAGGAAGGGCAGAATGAAGGGAAGAAGGAAGCTATTGAATGTTACCTCTTAAGAATAACTGAAACTTAACCTGAAGTCATTTGAACGGTCAGTAATGAATCTGACCACATAATCTATCTGAAATTCTGACCTCCTGCACTATTTCTGTTTATTGCATGAGATCCCCCCTCAAAAGAAAAATTAAGCCTTTCCTGGAAAGTGCTATATTCTTGCATTAATTTGGGGGCAGTCCCCAGCTGACTGATTAACCTTAGGGCACAGCAATAATTAATACTAAATCCCTTCTCTTGTTTCTATCTGAAAAAAAAAAAAAGAAAAGAAAAAAAAAAGCTTAACACCCTCAGTAGTAAAATTTCACATGCTACAGAAATAAAAATAAAGAGGGATTATGCTTTCTTCATTGCCTGCAGAATGCCACAGGAGGTTTTATTTAAGAGCAATGAATGTGAACGTGAGAATTATCAAAGAAATCTTTACTGCTTTAAAATTTATCTTCTTTTAAGCATTTGCTAGCTGCTCTGAAACCTTTAATTTTTTTTTTTTTGCACAAAATGCAATGTTTTGGTTAGTTGAACTTAACTATATAAATGGACCCAATGCAGTAATAGAAAAGCGCACTCACAGTTTGCTGTGTATTTTATTAAACTAATTAAAGAATTTATGGAAAGAAGAAATCAAGTTAACTACCATAGGAAAGAAAAAGGAAACAAACTCTTTTGTCTTGAGCCAACCTCTGCACAGTTTCACAGGTGCCCCATGAATGTGATGTCATTTTGATTGGAGTAACCTCTCTCCCACAAAGACAAATGAAAGAACTCCTTTTAAAATAACCCCTGCACCTCACACAGGTGGCCACATCTAAAATAAACCTCCAGACTGCATCTCAGGAACAGTTTTCTAAAGAAATGTTCTTTTAGGGCTGTCCAAAGGGCAAAAAAGTGACTCAGAATGTGCTGACGGCTCTTTTGAAGAAAACTAAAGGATATGGTTTTCTGCTCTGATTATAGTGAAAAGCATGTTCCTCAACTAGTGGTTTTATAACTATGGATTGGGAATAAACCTTTTCTTGACTTCTTTAAAACTGATTTTCAGTGGGTTCTGAATTCAAAAACTGACTCCTGTCCAGAAGCTGGGCAAGGGATTATGACTTTTGGGTGGCCTGCCCTCAGCCTCCTGATTGTTTGTCGTTGGTTTCATTTGATAGTACAGATTCTGTAATGTCCTTGTTGGCTGCCCATCTATTTAGCCCCTAGGGATCTCATGTTCTATTAGCCATCTCCAAAACTCTCTGTGGCTCAGGCTCCTGTAGCAGCCCCTCCAACCTTGCCACTCATTGTAATATTTGAGTCCAAAGATATATATATTAGCACCATGCCTCTATAGTTTTGAAGTCCTACCATACCAGATATGTTTTGGCTGGATGTTTAACTCACTTTGGAGCTCTACTAATTTCATAACTAAGTGTTGGGCTCTCTCTGCCTTTCTACTGTAGAAGATGAATTGTTGCTTTATATGTTACCAAGGAGACCCTCTGGCTTTCACACTTAGCTTTTAATTGTCAATTAAATGGTCTTAGCTTTTTGTTGTTTTCTCTAGAGCATCAGTTGAGCTTAGCAATGGTCATCCAATTCCATTGTCCTTATAGTTACTATTTTCCTGTAATTTTCAAGTGCTAGAAACATCATGCAAACTAGTGCATTTCTTTCCATTGATAGATCATTCCAACTCTCCACCACAGAAAGTTCTAACAATTAAACCATTTTCTATTTTATGCCAGGAGCTAAATGTGTTCCACCTACCATCAGTTTTGAAGTCTCCAGGGCCAGCTGAGAGTCAATGATACAGCTTTAAAATCTCATTCCCAAGTTTGTTTTCTTTGGCCACTCAGGTACCATTTGTTGCAGATTGGGTTTCCAAGGAAGCCAAGACTGAGACAGAAATTAGCATGCAGGAGGTTTATTGAGAAAGGCAAGGCCAGGCGCAGTAGCTCATGCCTGTAATCCCAGCACTTTGGGAGGCCGAGGCGGGTGGATCACAAGGTCAGGAGCTCAAGACCAGCCTGGCCAGCATGGTGAAACCCCGTCTCTACTAAAAATACAAAAATTAGCTCGGCATGGTGTCCCGCACCTGTAGTCCCAGCTACTCGGGGGGCTGCGGCAGGAGAATCGCTTGAACCTGAGAGGCGGAGGTTGCAGTGAACCAAGATTGCGCCACTGCACTCCAGCCTGGATGACAGAGCGAGACTCTGTCTCAAAAGGGAAGGGGAGGGGAGGGGAGGGGAGGGAGCAGGATTGGCCAGAGAGGGAAGTCAAGATGTGATGCATTCTCAATGGAAAGCCTGAACTGACCATGTGGGGAGTTCTAAAGATCGATTGACCATTCGGAGTGCACCATGTTGGTCTATCAGTCATTTCGTTTGAGCTGCCCTGGAAAGTGGGTGTGAAGTTGGTTGAGGAGGCCCCCGTCTTCTTAAGAAACTGGCAGTTAAGGGCTATCTGCTGGTGACACTCCCAGCCACTGAAATGATAAGTCCTTTAATCCTGAAGAGGGATATGGGTAGCACATCACAATCCTCCTACCAGTGATTTAAAACTTGTATCACGATATAATGACCTCATAACTTATATAATGCTTTTTTTCTTGAAGTCGATTTTATCTTCCACAATATAACTATACCAACTTTCTCTTGGTTTGCATTTTATTGTTTATACGATTATTATATAACTTATATTATTGCATTTATCATTTTCTGTTGTTTTACTTAAAACGTTTTGGTCTTTATGTTTTAGATATGATCTTACAAACAGTATATGGTTGGATTTTTTAAAATCCAGTCTTGATAATCTATACCTTTTACTAGAGAGCTCACCTTACAACTATTATTATTGATATATTCAGATTTATTACTACCTATTTAGGGTGCTTTTTTTTTTGTCCCAACATTTCTGCATTCATTTTTCTTCTCTTTCTTGGTTTCCTGCCTTCTTTTCTTACTTTTTTAATAAATTTCATTTTTTCCTATTGTTCAAAACACATATACCCTCTTACATTCATTTAGTTGATGGCTTTACAAATTTTAATATACATACATAATCCAATATAAACAGTGTAAGTTATTTACTTTTCTTTCCTGTTAAATAATACAAGGAATTAGTATGTTTTACACCTAATCCTTCCTCTTGGTTTACAAGATTTATTTTCTTAAGCATTTTAGCTTGTTTTTCATTAACTCCACAAATTAAATCTTAAAACTATTGTTTTATAAATCAATGTAGGCCATTTGTCTTTCATATTTTTAAGATATTTTTAAGATCTCTCTTAGATATTATGCAGTTTTGCTAAACTTTTTCTAGATAAACATGTTATTTTATATTTCTTAAATCTGTAAATTCATATCTTTCATTAATTTTTGAAAAATCATCAGGTATATTTCTTTGCAGATTTTCTCTTAATCATTTTTTCTATTTTCTTTCTAGTATGCAATTAACTATATGGTAGACCATCTCTCTCTATCTTCCATGTCACTTAATATGTCTTTCATATTTCCAACTCTTTCTATCCCTGTCATGAATGCTAGCTTTTATTTTTTCAGATTTATCTTCCAAACTAATTCCCTAGTAAGTTGTGTCTAATATGTCTATTGAGTGTCTAGTTTCAATTATGGTTTTTTTCAAATCTGTATGGTAATTTTTGATAATTTCTTATTTTCTGCTAACATTTTCAATTCTATACTTTATTTATTTAAACAAGTAAACTTATACAACTGAATCTGAGTTAGCCAATATCTATAGTATTTTTATGTCTGATTCTACAATTTGTTGTTTTTAGCTTTTGGTGGTTTATTTCTTCAGATGTTTCGTAATTTTTAAAATTGTGAAGTTAATTATTTGGACCTTTATCCATGTGAATTCTTTAAAATTTTTTTTTGTTTTCAGAGTTAAGTTGTATTTGCAACTGCCAAGCTTGGAAAGGGAGAAGAAGTATATTTCCAATTGAACACTACTTTAAATTTTCAGCTTCAAGTTTTTTTGAGCTACTTGGGAATAGCATAAATTATTTCTCCAAGCATACATAAGGGTGGTCTTGTGGTTGGAAATTCTCAAGGGTAGACATTCTCCCCCTCTATTCAGAAGCAAGGCTAAGAAGGCACATTTCCTTTCTATGGCTTTCTGTGGAGTGGGATTTGTTTTAAACTCAGCCTCTAAAGGGATTGTCATTCAGTAGTCTCAGTTTTGTGCATGGGTCTTGGATTTATTATCCCACCTTAGATCAGCCATAGGCTGGAATAGGTGTTCCCAAAAACCCAAACTCCATCCCACCCAAGACTTGCATTTGTCCGAGATGATTTATTGACCTCTCTGAATTCATGCTTCCTTGTCCATTTCATATCTGAGGATTTTACTTTCTTGCCAGTTATGTAATTATAAAGCTTCTCAAAAAAATTTTTTATCCAGAATTTTTTTTTGTTGTTTTTACTGGGACAAGGTTTCTGGTGTTTAGTCTGCTATACTGTCAGAAACTTAAGTCCTACTTTACCTTTAAACCCATTCTAATCTGACATCTAGCCTTATCTCTTCATTGAAATGTTCTTGTTTTGGACATTTTTTGTATGTTGAAACTATCACCTCACTTAGCTCTGCTATAATGCTCCACCCCTTCCCCCTCTTCCCCTTTTTAAATTCCCTCCCTTGGTAACAGTTTATTCTCAGTCTCTTTTGCTGTCATCTTTTTCTCTTTCTTACCTCTAAATGGGTCCTCAGAGTTCTATCTTAGGCCACCTTTTCTATTTCCTTTTCTTCCTCCTCTGAGGTGATTCCGTTAATTCTCATGACATTAAATAGCAGTCACATGCTCACCACTCTAATTTATTTCTATAGCCCAGACCTCTACTCTGGGTTCCAGACTCATCCATCCAGTTAACAACATGACATCTCACTGGATGTCTAGAGGTTTCTCAAACTTAAACTGGAACTCTTGGTTTTTCTCCCTAGACATGGGTCTTCTTCACTTATTCCCTTTGACAGTAAAAAGGAGTTCTATACACCCAGTTGTCAAATCAAAATCCTAGGAGTCATCTCTCACTCCTAAATCCAAATCATCAAGACCTGACTTTCCTGCCATAAAAATCTTATTGCATATGTAAAACTCTTATACTCTCCACTTCTCTTCCTTATCACTACCACTACCCTAGTTCCCTAGTTCAAACCATAATTATCTGTAGTTTGGACTCCTACAAATTCTTGCCTCTCTCTCCATCAAGGTTTTTGCACTTTCTATTTCTTCGGCCTAGAACACTTACTCCTGTGCTCTTGACATAATTATTCCATTTCATTCTTTAGATCTCAGCTTAATTTTACTTCTTCAGAGAGATCATCTTTGATTACTCATGCTATCCTTGCATTCTATTTTCTTCCTACTCTATTTACAATTTTATTTATTTTTTGATTTATTGGTTTATTTGTAACTGTTCACTCCCAGCCTTCTCAAATGTAAGCTCTCTCAGTGCAGGAAGTTTTACATTCCCAGTATCTGTCTTGCATTTGTCTGTCTTGTTCACTTTGTATTCCCAGTATCTAGTATATTATCAGGTACAAAAGAAGCATTCAATAATACAAGTTATTTGTTTACAAAATGTCTTAAAAAATGAGTCTGTGGTATGATGATAGAATAATACCATTTCAGTCAAGTTTGCCTCCTGTAGGGGGCAGGAGATATTTCTAGGTCTCTAAATTCACACTATGATGATAGCTTCCACTCTTCAGGATTATGCAGATCTAGAAGAAACAGGTAACTCTGTTTCAGATGCCTCTCTTAAATACAAACTAGGCACTTACATTAGTACTGTATCTTCTCTGAGAATGCTGAATGTTTGGTTAAAATTGATGTCATATAATAGCAAAATTACAAGCTATACCAGGCCAGTGGCAGCCAGGTCATTGAATATATTCAGCATCTAACACTAAAAATCATGGGTTAGAAAATGAACAAACGAATGATCTCTTAGGATCTCTGACACATTTCATGTACATACAGCCTTCACTTCAAATCTAAATTTTGCAAGTTTGTGCTGTATGAATTGAATGGCTGAGAGGGCTCTGAGAGACCAATAATGTGTTCATTTACTGCTCTTGTTAATTCTCTAAATGATAAACTCCTGAACCTAGTGCTATAGATGGAATTGTGTCCCCCAGAAATTTATCTTCTGAAGCCCTAACCCTCTATTTGATGGTATTTGGAGATGAGGCCTTCGGAAGTTAATTAGAGTTAAGTGAGTGCATGAGGGTAGCAGTCCTATGATGAGATTAGTGGCATTGTAAGAGAAAGAAGGAGAAAGAGCTCTCTCTCTACTATGTGAGAACACAAGAAAATGGCCATCTGCAAGCCAGGACGCAGGCCCTTACCAGGAAGCAAATCAAATGACACCTTGATCTTGGACTTTCCAGGCTCGAGAATTGTGAGAAATATGTTATTGTCACTCCATATATGGTATTTTTAAAGGCACCTCAGCAGACTAATACACCTAGTTTATCATATAGGCTGGTAACATCATAATTCTTCTTTTTAAATCTTCCATTACAGGGAGAAGACATCGCAAGGGTGCTGACAACCCACTCAGCAGTGAGGAAGTAACAGCTGTGGGAACTTTCAAAATCAGAGCAATGTTGATCACCCTGCATGTGCAAACCAAATATAGTGACTAGTCAAATCTAATGACTAGAATGAAATTTCTCATGTGGAATGGAAAACTTTTGGTCCATATCAATTCTATAAACTGACAGGCTGAAATACCCAATCAGTCTATATTCTGAAATCTACTGAGTCAAAGAAGCAAATCCTGAAATAGCAAACCACTATAATTAGGTATAGATTCACTCCATAATAGGACCCTATAAACAATGAAAAGAGATTGTGTAATTTGGAAGAAAATGTCATTCAATTATATATAAGGGAAGCAAACTGTGTTTGGATTTAGAAAGCAAGTTATTTGCCAGGACATAAGACTAACAATTTATTAGGATAATTACTGCATAATTTATATGGCTTGAAGGTTAAGGATTTTTAAATAAAGTTAGTTAGCATAAGATATTTCAATTGCTTAACTTAGTTATAATCCCTTCTCTGCCCTCCCACTTATCTGCTGTGTGAACCTGGGCAATTAACTTTCCTATGTTAAGTTGTCACATCTTAAAATGAAATAGTAGCAATTTACCTCATATTTTACTTATTGACCTATATGATGCCAAGTGCAAGGCTTCTAAGCACACCACAAATATTAATTTCTTTATTCTTTGTAACAATTCCCTGAGCTGAGAAACATTTTTATCTCCTCTTTAGAGATGAAGAAACTGGGGCAAAGAGCAGTTTGGTTATCTCACCCAAGATCACACAACTAGTAAGGTGTGTAGCAGGGCTTCCTTCCCAGGGTGTCTGGCTCTGAGGTTGAGATTTAGTCACCTCACTATGCATAGTGGACAGAATACTGTTGTCATCTTAGCAAACACAGAACAGGATTGCAATTGCAAATGGCTAACTAAAGAAATAAGAATGAAAAGAAATGGAACTTGAACACACCTGTCCCAGGAAGATGACATAATGTGGAGCCTCATGATATCACTCCAATTTGTACCATGCAACTTGGGGAATTATTTTTGCAGGAACAAAAAGAAGAGCTGTCTTTTGTAAGTTAGAAAGCTTTTGGAAGAGATTAACACCAGGAGTTATTAAAGGGCAGGCAAGAGGGAGAGACATACCAGGGGAGTGGTATGGGAAGGAGAGAGAGGACTGTGGCTCCTGGAGGTGAATGGTACCCATGCTGTGCTTCATGGTGCAATCTCAGTCAGGCTGGCTACTTCCTGGGATAAGAGAGCAAGAATTTCGGCAGTGAGTTGCCAGCTTTGGCAAGGATTCCTGAGCCTCACATGCCATCTGGAAGGAAAGAACTTCTCAACCTCAAGGGGCCACCAAGACCCAAGACTATAAAGTCATCAGGGATATTATGAGAGGGAGATTAAAGGTACTTCTCCATCTTCTGGGAAATTGAAGAGATGAAAGAATGGAGAGGTATGATGCTGAGAGGCAGAAGGGACTCCAATAATGATTGAGGTGGAATTTACTGTCTATTCCCTATGACAGCCGTCCCCAGCATTTTTGACACCAGGGACAGGTTTCATGGAAGGCAATCTTCCCACAGATGTGGGAGAGGGGTGGGAAGGATTCAAGTGCATTACATTTATTGTGCACTTTACTTCTGTTATGATTACATCCTCACCATAATGTAGAATCAGTGGGAGCCCTGAGCTTGTTTTCCTGCAACTAGACGGTCCCATCTGGGGGTGATGGGAGGCAGTGACAGATTATCAGGCATTAGATTTTCATAAGGAGTATGCAACCTAGATCCCTCACATGCACAGTTCATAATAGGGTTCGTACTCCCATAAGAACCTAATGCTGCTGCTGATCTGACAGGAGGCAGGGCTCAGCTTCACTTACCCACTGCTCACCTCCTGCTGTGTGGCCTGCTTCCTAACAGGCCACAGACTGGTACTGGTCTGTGGCTCAGGGGTTGGGGACTCCTGCCCTATCACGTAGGTTCAGAGTTGAAATCAAATTAAATTAAAGGCAATAAGGTGGTATTTCTCACACCTCTGGATGTAGGGACTAGGATGCATACCTGTTACAAAGATGCTGTGAAAGTTCAAAAGAAGGATTAGTACCTTCTATCTGAAAGAGAGGGATGCAGATATTTCAGCTAGGTCTTGAAGGCTGGGGGGTGACCTATGGCAGAGACAAAGGAGGATGTTCCAGACAGAAAAACAAGCAGAAGCAAAGGTAGAGGGGAAGAATATATGCAAACTCCTTGGGAGATGAGGAATATTCTAGATTATCCAGAGAAGGGGGGATACAAAAATATAGGACCATGTGAATACTGAATGTTTGATTATATTAATGAATTGATGTTTGGGGAGTTTACAGAATGTACTGTATTTACATGTAACAATTTTAGACAATATCTAGAAGTTTCATACAGAAATGTTTACAACACAATGGTGGAAAGTTTGGGGTCTGGGAGAAACCAGTGGAAGTACAGATGAAATAAGATAGACCATGCTGTGATCGTAGCTGAAGCAAGATGATGGATTGTAAGGGTAACATGATGAAATCAGGACAAGGCAGCTGCTTCTCACTCTTCTCTCCTTGAAAACATAATCCACCCCAAAGAGGCCCAACCTCTTGGTTTTTATTGCCAAGTTGTAGGCTTTTTGACCCTTGGAACTGTAAGCACCTATTTATGAATTTAACTCAGTAGTCTCCCAGGAGGTATACAGAAGACAGTCCCAAGGAGCAAACATTTATCTCTCAAGAAGATGAAAAGAGTTTAGCTATTCTTTCTCCTACTTTACTGTATAACTTTGTGTGAAATTCTGTCCAGACTGCAGTCATTTTTGTGCCGTCTTATGTACATAAATCTGCTAGTGCTTACCCAATAATAAATTGTGCTCTTGCTTTATTCTGTATTGGTACAGAGGGGTCAGGGCCAGGATTGCCTCATTTCTCCAAAAGAATATATGAGAGTTTATTAATAATATTTTCTCTATATTTGTACATATTTGAAATTCTCTATAGTAAAACATTTTTTAAAATGATATTTGATCATTTCAGATACTCCAGCAAGATAAGAATCAAGAAATTGCCATCAAATTTGGCAACTAGGAGGGCAATGGTGACCTTGGAGGAAAGAGGAGAATGGGAAAATGAAAGCTTTACTGAAAAGGAGTCAATGGGAGGAGATAGAGAAAGCAATGAGTACAGATTGCTCCTTTTCAAGACATTTGGTAGAGAGAAAGAAGGGAGAAGGTGAAGTAGATGGAAGGATTCTTTTAGAGTAGGACAAATCAATTTGGGAGAATTCTCAGTGAAAAATGAGCCTGAAAAATGGAGATTAAAGCTGTAGTCTAGAAGAAGAATAATTGATGGGCGATATCCCAGAAGAGCTGTGAGAAGATGAGATGCAGGACTTTTCTCCCGTCTATTTTCCAAAAGTAATCAAAGCAACCTTTTGGTTTTGGTTTTGCCCAGTTTAGAAATATTATCACAAGTATAATTCATATACAATGAATAAAATTTAGAAAATACAGATAAGTAACATTTTTAAGCATGGGTAATCTCATTTTGCTAAAGGTCTCTCCAGGCCATCTGCTATCTGTTTGCTTATGTATATGTTAACATGTACACAAACAAACACACTAATGCAATCATATTATGCAGACAACTCTGCAGTCCAATTTTTTTCATGTAATGAATTGTGAAATCCTTCCTATATCAATAAGCACAATAATCTTTTTAAAAAAAAAAACTCTAGTTGTTATCACCTTCCCTGCTTAATAAAGTATTTCACTGGCCAAATACTATATTTAGAAATAAAAAATCCAATCTGCATAATTTGATCTACAGCCCTGAGTGATCTGGCCTCAGCCTCACCTGACATCACTTTATGCCTTGATCATTTTGTTCCAAACACGCTTTCTTGCAGTTCCTCGAACTCACAAACTTTCTTGATTCTCTGTTCCTCTGCCCAGATTGTCCTTTTTGAGACTCTTTGCATGGCTAAGTCCTGATCCTCTGGGTCTCTCTTCTCTGTATAGTCAAATGAAAGTCCAGTTTCCTGAATGGTGACCATGGATCCTGACTTACCTGGCATAGTCTGGTTTTCACCTGTTTTTCCAATATAATACTTAATGATGCCTCCTTCCACTCTCAAGAGTGCCCCAGTTTGGATAATGAATTACAGAGTTACTCCACTCATAGCCCCTGGATCTTTCCCTTCACAGCAGTCATTGCAATTTGTAATTATGAAATTGTCTCTTCATTTACCTATTTGCTGTGTGTCATTTATTAGCCCATAATCTCAGTAACAGTGGGAAAAAAATTGGTATCCACTACATAGATCTAGTCCTTGGGCTTTGACCCTTGCTAAACATTGGTAAACGTAGGTGGAGCATTAAATGGGACAGCCTTGATAAATTAGACTGAGGGGAGTTGGGGAAGAGGTGCAGGAGACAGAAGCTGGGCTGAAGTGACCTGAGGAAAGTGAAAATGTGTAGGAATTCCACAGATAGGAGAAGCAATTGATTTTTATAGTCACTGTTAAAATTTACTTATCTGTTTCTGGAGAGAATGTGGAGAAATAGGAACACTTTTACACTGTTGGGGGGAGTGTAAGTTAGTTCAACCATTGTGGAAGACAGTGTGGGAATTCCTCAAGGATCTAGAACTAGAAATACCATTTGACCCAGCAATCCCATTACTGGTATATACCCAAAGGATTATAAATCATTCTACTATAAAGACACATGCACACATATGTTTATTGCAGCACTGTTCACAATAGCAAAGACTTGGAACCAACACAAATGCCCAGCAATGATAGACTGGATAAAGAAAATGTGGCACATATACACCATGGAATACTATGCAGCCATAAAAAAAGGATGAGTTTATGTCTTTTGCAGGGACATGGATGAAGCTGGAAACCACCATTCTCAGCAAACTAACAAAAGAACAGAAAACCAAACACCGCATGTTCTCACTCACAAGTGGGAGTTGAACAATGAGAACATATGGACACAGGGAGGGGAACATCACACACCGGGGCCTGTCAGGGGGTGGGGGCTAGGGGAGAGAGAGCATTAGGAGAAATACCTAATATAGATAATGGGTTGATGGGTGCAGCGAACCACTATGGCACGTGTATACCTATGTAACAAACCTGCACATTCTGCACATGTATCCCAGAACTTAAAGTATAATTAAAAAAAAAAAAAATTTACATATCTGTGTTTTCTAAATTTTGTTCATTGAATATGGACAATGAATTTTGTTCATTGACTTGTAACTATATGATTCTTATACTCTTAATTTATAGTCACAAAATTGGGTAATAAAAATACAATTTACCCAATTTAGAAAAAGAAACATGGTCGGGCATGGTGGCTTACCAGCCTGGGCAACATGGTAAAACCCCATCTCTACTAAAACTACAAAAATTAGCTGTATGTAGTGGTGCACGCCTGTTGTCCCAGCTACTTGGGAGGCTGAGGTGGGAGGATCGCTTGAGCCTGGGGGGCAGAGGTTGCAGTGAGGCAAGATTGTGCCACTGCATTCCAGTCTGGGCGACAGAGTGACAACTCTGTCTTAAAAAAAAAAAGAAAAGAAACATGAAAGATTATAGGTAGTAGTCAGATTCTATCCAAATGTGGAAACTATCCAAAGTTCGCTGTTCCCTCATGAAGAAGCATGCAAAGGAATACTAAGATCATGACAAATCTCAACCAGCTGTCTAGCCAGCTAACAGTGAGGCAGACCAGACAGTGTGCCATTCTCCTGACTGGAGACCCTCCCCTACATGGCTGAGGCAGCTGGAATCCTGAATCCTGAGTGAGACACACTCCTCACTTACACAAGAGCCCACCTCCAGTCAGCTCAGAGCTCATCTAAGATATGAGCCCAGAGAGCTCCAACCAATCCGCAACACCCACAGGCCTTGCTTTCCCAACGTGGGAGAGAAATGATGGTCTTCTGGCTCTGAAAGACCTGCTGGCCATTTCCCCTTCTCAAATCTCCTCCCCAGGGACTGGGCTCTGAGCGCTGGGTCAGGCACCCTACCTGCAGCAGAACTTCCCCACTCAGAACTCAACCTTTGGTCTCTGGTCTTTATTAATTTTCTTTTGCAATAATATTATTTAAAAGAAAGTGAAATGTAGTTATCATCTTACATTTTATTCCTATCTCAGTCTCCTTTGAAGCTAGGGTTTTGGTTTTTTCAGTAATCTCAGCATTTTGGGAGGCCAAGCTTGAGCTCAGGAGTTTGAGATCAGCCTGAGCAATATGACAAAACCTCACCTCTACAAAAAAATATACAAAAATTAGCCAGGCATGGTGGCACAATGCCTGTGGTCCCAGCTACTCAGGAGGCTGAGGCAGGAGGGTCACTTGAGCACAGGAGGTCAAGGCTGCAGTGAGTCGCAATTGCATCCGCTGCACTCCAGCCTGGGCAAGAGAACAAGACCCCATCTCAAAAAGAAAATAAAAGAAAGAAAGAAAGAAATGAAATCATTAATAACTCTGAACACTAAAAATGTTTTATTTCAGAAAATGGCTCAATTAATTAACATAATAAATATGGTGTGAAATCTACTAACTGGTTTTTGAAAGATTAAGTACTTTTATTAGCATCCATGTTTTAATTTAATGTAGTTTTTTTATTTATTTGTTTGGTTGGTTTTCGGTTTAGTTTTGATTATCTGCAGTTAACTACAGAAGCTCCATAGAAGGTTTACTATTTAAAACCAAAATGAGTCCGCGAGATTTTCCTTGCTTTTGTCTGTAACAATAGGGAATATAAGAGGAGTCACCACAGCTTATTTTGCTTTGCTTGTCTTCTGGGCAAAAAATTCTACAAATTCACATGCATCAAAATGAACTACAAACCAAGGAAGTGTTCATTTCCCCTTAAAAATCTAACTTCTGTTTTTTAATTCAAATGGAAAGTATTGGTACATCTGAACTAACGAAATGCCCTAAATACTCTACAGATCTAAAAATACTGAAAAGGTATTTCTCTATTATACACAAATTTTCATTTTCTTATAATTCACCCTCCATGAAATTATGAATACTTTTCAGATTTTAGTGTTGTATTTAGTAATATTTTAGGATTTAGTATAGTTTAGTTTAATAGCTTTCTTTTTTTTGTATAATCACTTGTAAGCTAGCCTTTTAGAAGAAAATAAAATTTTAAAAGACACTTCAAATAAAGTTCAGTTCAAAAGGAATCTTGAAATAAAAGGCTTAGTGAATCAAAAGGCATTAACTGAATAGGTGACATATCTTTAGTCCAGTGTTAACGGACAAGGCACAAAGGACAAGCAGGACAAGTATCTGATAGATTGCATGCCCTCTCTTGCCATCCCTGCTGCCATTGCCTGCATCTAAGCCTTCATTTCCTTGTCTCCGCAAGTGTGAAATAGTCAGCCTGGCCCTTCTACCTCTGAGCCCCTAGTGTCACTTCCCAGCCACACCTCACATGACAATCTGCACATACTGCCGAATCCATCTATGTGAAACACTATTTTTACTACATTTTTCTTCTTTTTAAAACATTTATGATGTAGCCCAAACTCTTTCTGCCTTACGCAGAGAGAAGAACAAAAGATTTAGAATCATACACAGGCCCACACCCTGGTTCAAACACTTACCATCTGCATGACTTGGCTAAGTTGTTTGATGTCATGTATAAAATGGCTATAATCATCAAATCTCACCAGGGTGAGTAGAGAAATAAATAAATATGAAAAGCCATAACCAAATAATAAATGCTTTCTACCAGTCTGTTCTCTTCCCTAAGTTCACCAACTTTTGAATATCTTTTATAATCTGACCCCATCTTCCTTTCTAATTTATTGTTCTCCAATTTTCATCTGTCTTTGCCATATTATTTTTCCTACACAAAACCTCTGTATATGCCTTTAGTTTTCCCACCTCCATATCTTGATTCATGACTTCAATAGAGAACAAATCAAAATAGTGACATTTATTTATTGTTTATATACTAATACTGTGGTTAAGTTGATATATAATCTCATATTTAAAAAATAATGTATTATCCCCATTTTACAGATGAGGAAACTGAGGTTTCAAAAGGTTGAGAATCTTGTTCAAGGTCTCATCTTGTAAACGGGAGAGTAGAAATTCAAACCCAGACAGTGTGCGATTACAATCCTAACTGCTAAGTTCAAATGCATTAACATCCATCATCTGAGAGGATACTATTAATTTTCCCATTTACAAATAAGGAATTTTAAAGAGTGATAGATGATTTTAAAAAGTAACGAGTGATAGATTAAATTCTAGGTCACCTTGCTTTAAAAATGACAGATTGATTGTCCCTTAACTTCTAGGGGGAAAAAAGAAGAGATGATGATAGTTTATAGATAAAACAGATACTCTTGAAGACAAAGAACAAAATGACAAAATGAGGGTCTTACTCTACCAAAGGGCAAGTATAAAATATAATATAAAGCTATGGTAATTTGTATGATGTGGTATTTGTACAGAGATAGAAAACGGGCCCATAGAACAGAATAGAGTCCAGAAAATGGAACCATGCATACAGAGTCTTTTTACATTATTAACTGAAGAAAAATTGAGCCATTTAAAAACTTGTTAAGATTTAGAAACAAAGGCAGAAGGAGCCAAATCAAGACTGTAAGATGATAGATGCCTAATGATGTCCTATCAAATCTCTTGCAAAATCACCCATGTTTGATAAGTGGAATGAATAGGAGCATTGTCATGGTGAAGGACTCTCTGGTAAGGCTTTCCTGGGGGATTTTCTGCTAAAGCTTTGGCTAAATTTCTCAAGATACCCTCATAATAAGCAGATGTTACCATTTTGGGGTTCTTCAGAAAGCCAACAAGCAAAATGCCTTGAGCATCCCCAAAAAACTGTTGCCATGACTTTTGCTCTTGACTGGTCCAATTTTGCTTTCACTGGACCACTTCCACTTCTTGGTAGTCATTGCTTTGATTGTGTTTTGTCTTCAGAATTGTACTGGTAAAGCCATGTTTTATCTCCTGTTACAATTCTTCAATGAAATGCTTTAGGATCTTCCTCTCATTTATTTAAAATTTCCATGGAAAGCTCTGATTTTGTCTGCAGTGGATCTGGGTGTGGTGGGTTTAGCATCCATTGAGTAGAACATTTGCTCAACTTTAATTTTTCAGTCAGAATTGTGTAAGCTGAACCAGTTGAGATGACTATGGTGTTGACTATTGTTTCTGCTGTTAGTCGTTGGTCCTCTTCAATTAGGGCATGAACAAGATTAATTTTTTCCTTGCAAATTGATGTAGATGGTCTATCACTGTGGGCTTCACTGTCAACACTGTCTCATCCCATCTCTTTTTTAACTTTTAAGTTCAGAGGCACATGTGAAGGTTTGTAATATAGATAAACTGGTGTCATGGAGATTTGTTGTACAGATTATTTTGTCACCCAGGTATTAAGCCTAGTACCCATTAGTTATTTTTCCTGAACCTCTTCCACCTCCCACCCTCCACCCTCGAATAGGCCCCATTGTCTGTTGTTCCCCACTATGTGTCCACGTGCTCTCATCATTTAGCTCTCACTTATAAGTAAGAACATGCAGTATTTGGTTTTCTATTCCTGCATTAGTTTGCTAAGGATAATGGCCTCCAGCTCCATTCATGGTCTCCTCTTAAAACTATCCATTTATAAACAGCTGATTTCTTTAGGATATTGTCCCCCTAAACTTTCTACAAAGCAAGGAAGATTTCATCATTTTTCCACCCAAGATTGACTATAAATTCGATGTTTGCTCTTGCTTCAATTTTAGTAGAACTTATGTGGCTCTGATAGGGACTAATTTTTTTTTTTCTTTTTTTTTTTTTTTTTTTTTTTTTTTGAGACGGAGTTTCGCTCTGTCGCCCAGGCTGGAGTGCAGTGGCGCAATGTCGGCTCACTGCCAGCTCCGCCTCCCGGGTTCACACCATTCTCCTGCCTCAGCCTCCCGAGGGACTCTTATTAAACTGGTATTTTATCCCTCTTAGTGCCTTAGATGCTGTTCAGACATGTTATAACAAGTTAGTATGCATTTATTTTGTTGCAAAAAAAAATGAAATCCATCAATCCTTTTTTCATAATATGCATTTTCCATAAATTTTTGAAGACCCTTCATAGAGTAAGACAGATGATAAAGTAATTCTTTGATGCTTTATGACCTGATACTTTTCTCTTTCCTGTGATATGAATACGTGAAAGTATATTTATTTTCAAAGAAAACCAATATCCTTTCTTGAAAACCTTCTGATATCAGAGAAGGAGCTGGCAGCCAAAGAACCAGCTCAATACTAAACCCAAGCCTGGGAAAGTAAGCGGTCCTCGTGCATCTCTAGAGCCTGTAATTAATGGCTCTCCTTGGATTCCCACTTTCCGCTTCTTTTTACCCTGCTTTAGAAATGCCTTTTGTTTTCCTATTCACCCTGGATAAGATCCACTTCCCCTCGCTGGCTCCCGCTTCCAGTCACCACTTCCAGTCACAGTGGCTTGCTATGAACTCCTCTCCTATGCCATTTTGGTTTATAAAAATACTATATTCTTAATAAAATCAAATAGATGTTTCTCAATAGGAAAATATAGATATAAATAATGGAATTCATGAGCTACGAAGTTTTATTCCTTACAGGCAACTTGGAGTCCTCCTCTTCAACCCATAAGACGTGTTTATCTCATTCCCACTGCACTCCAGGCCATCTTACTAATATTGTTAAATGTTGATTTTATAACACCTAACCAAAACATTAAAGAAATATTCTTAAGCCTCTAGGATCAAGAGCATCTAGCCTGGAATTAATGGTTCTCCATAAGACTACTTGTCTCCACCCATTCACTTTATTCCTTCCTTCTTCATAACCTGCCATCTCAAGTTCCACATTTGCCATGGTGCTTTACCTGCTATCTAACACACGCCGACCTTCCATCTCCTCCAAATACCACTTGTATGTATTATGATCTTTTCTCTCTTAGTACCCATGGTTAATTTCTACCATGTCCCTAACATTGTTGCCTCCATCATTGGTGAAAACTGGCTGGTCACATTTGCCATGTCTATCACAAAACAAAATGCCTAATACAAGATGTAATTAAGTCAAAGGAGAGTAGACAATTCTAAAGGAGGAGGAGGAGGAGGAGGAGAAGGAGAAGGAGAAGCCCAGACACAACTCACTTTCCCCCACTACCTAGTCAGATCTGTCTTCCTCTCCAGAGTCAGAAGACTGCATGCCAGCTCAACAAAGAGAAAAATCAGTTAGAATGGATGGAACCCCAGCTCAGTAGAATGGCTGAAGCATAAGTGAAGGGAAATTAAAAGAGCTCTTTGAGGGACTTAAACAAATTCAAATACAGCACAAAGGAACATTTTCTGAACATAAAGAAAATCATCTTGTAATTTCTACTGTAATAACGAGTGGATGTATTGAAGGAGAAGTTACAGACACATATTAGAGGTCTGGAAGACCATATGGCAGATATATGTTAAAGCACGGCACAGAAATGCAAAAAGATGGACATTGGAAAGAAAAAGAGGTGATGAAGTATAAATCCTGAAAATCTGTGCTCTTTTTCTAATTTCTTATGGTGCTTTCTAAAGATTTTTTCATCTCTTTAAAAATGAAAGCACATAAGACAAAACTTTTTCCAAATCCATCTTTCACTACGTTCCATCGATTTTTGTATAAAGCGTTTTCCTTTTCATTGCTTTTATAGAGTTTATAATTTTGATTTAAAAATTGATTCAAGGGTTGTCAGGGAATGTGATTCTTATTTTTCAGATATTTTTTTACCATACTTAACTATTCATTTTAATTTCATTAGATTATGAAGAAAAATGTAGCCTGTAAAATATTGACATTTTTGAAATTCATAGGCAGGTACAAAATCAATCTTTATAAATATTCAAATATTATAAGTTTGAAAAGGTATATTATATTTGAGGGTTACAAGGGTCTTTCTATGTATCTGCTCAATCCAGTTTATAAGCTGTATTTTAAATTTTTAAATACAAAGTTTTAAGTTTGTTTTCCTTAGAGACAGGCTCTGACTCTGTCACCCAGGCTGGAGTGTAGTGGCATGATCATAGCTCACTGTAGCACCAACTTTTGGGCTCAAGTGATCCTCCCACCTCATCTTCCTGAGTAGCTAGGACTCAGGTGTGTGCCACAACACCCAGCTAGTTTTTAATTTTTTTCTGTTTAGATGGGGTGGAGTGTCTCCCTATGTTTCCCAGGCTGGTCTCAAATGCCTGGCTTCAAGTGATCCCCTCACCTCAGCCTCACAAAGAGCTGGGATTACAGGCATGAGCCACCACACCTGGCCTAACATTTCTTTATATCCTCATTTATTTTTCATTTTCATTTATGTCCTTATTCATATTTGTCCAGTTTGATTTATCCGACTGTATATCAATGCTTAATGAAGTATTAGCAAATAGTATTCAGCAATATATCAAAAGATTAATACATTGTGTGACCAAGAACTACTTATTATCAACATAATCTATATATCAACATATTCAGGAATTTTATCAATATAACCTATCATACCTACAAAATGAAAAAATATTATATCAATAAATACTGAAAAATGTATTTGATAAAATTCAACAAATATTAGTGATAAAAATTATCAGTAGAATAAAATTAATAGAATCAAGATAATTCACTAAAAACAAAAAACAACAGTATATTCCTAATCATGAGCCACTAAAATAATTTCAATTAAAATTAGTCATTCCTATTATTATTTAGCACTGTTTCAGAAGTTCTAATAAATACAAAAAAATTAAATAGCTGGTATACATAGAACAGAAGAAATAAAAATGTCTCTTTTGTTGATATAACTGAATGACTAGAAAATCTAAGGTATGAAAAAAATTAGTTGCATTAATAAGAAAATTTGGTAAGTCATAGAATACAAGATAAATACCAAAAAAAAGAAATAGTTTTTTTCTTCATTTTATCTATAATCACCTAAAGGAAGAAGATAGCTTTTTAAAAAAAGTTTGAAATAGAAACAGTACTAAAAAATACTTATGAATAAATTTAACAAGTAAAGCACAAGACCTACATGAAGAAAATTATAAAATTATATTAAAGGACACAAAATTTGAACACAGGGAGAGATACACCATGTTCATGTTCATTAATGGGAAGACAGCATATTAAAAAGATTAATTTTCTCAAAATTAATAAAGATAATGTCATTCTAATTGAATTTTCAATGGAGGTCATTTGTCATTTTATGTTGGTAGACAGGGAATACAAGGTGTAGTTGGATACAATAATCTTAACGCTTACAAAGAGGATAAAACACCTGAGCACAGCCAATACATTTAAATTGCTTTTTAAAGCAAGAGTATTGATTAGTAGCAAGCCATTTTGAAAAGAACAATTTAAGATTTTTTTAAAATATCAAACACTGGGGGAGGAATGCCTTCTATGAAGGAAGACATAAATCCTGGTTTCCACTCCTTCCCTACTCCCACCTAATCCTGCCCCTCTCTCTGCCTTCTCCAGCTCAGTTAAAGATGCCACCATCCACCCACACATAACCCAAATGCAACCTAAACCCATGACTTTCTTTCAAGTCTCAATTCCACCACCGTAGTCTAAACCATTCTTCTCGTCCGCAGCCTGACCTCTTGCAAAAATCTTCGGCATGTCTTGCAGCTTTCACTCTTGTCCCTCTCCCATCCTTTCTCCCTGCCAGCAGGAAAAGTGGTATTTCAAAAACCTCAAGTGGTTTTCCACAGTTCTTAGATCAAAATCTGAACTCTCCACTTCTCTTACAGAGTCTAGTTCCAACACCATCACTGTTTTATACCACTCTCTCCTCTCACCCTCTGTGTCCAGCAACAATGTCCTTCTTTCAGCTCTTTAAGCACACCACACTTGTCCCAGCTGTGGAAACTTCTCGTCTGCTGGGCTCCTTGCCTGCCACACCGCTCCCCTGATTGGTGCACCGCTGGTGCCTTAAGCATTTAAGACATCCCTTGACCACTTTTCAAATCACCCTGTTTTAATTATCTGCATAGTACTAACTATTGTTGGATCTTTCTTTTGTGTATTTATTTGTTTGCTCAGTGTTTATTTCCACATGAAAATGTAAGCTCCAAAAATAAGCAAGTTGTCTGTCTGCTCTTGTCAACACTAGGCACAGTGCCTGACACAGAATAAGCACTCAATATATGTGTGTCAAATCAAAGAATTAATGCTTGATCAAAGTTTTATTTCTGAGAGTGTTATCCTAAGATAATGTTGAACCTCCAGAAATAGGTTTGCTCCAAAAAGTCATTGAAGGAATGTGCTGTGAATATCATATAAACAGGACTTTATTATTTCAAGGAGAGGCACTTTTATAGCCCAATTTCAGTAATACTTTTAAAATCTAGATGAAAACACAAAAGCCTTGCATCATATATCTGAAGTAATCATCATCAAATATAGATTGACTGTCTCCATCTCCCAAGTGTCAAAAGACTGATTAGCAGTATCTAACATCTTGGCTGTAGGAGACCTTGACGTATATGCTCAGCAGGTTATAATGATTTATATAAATTAGCTGCCACATATTCTAAAAGAGACATTAATTTCCCACCACCTATTTCTAAAATGAATTACTAAATCTCAAACTCACCCTCAATGAGGTAATCAGTCACCCACAAAGCATGGAGTCAATGAAAAGGCCTCATTTGAAATTAACAGATGTCCCAAACTTGGGGCAAATAGGAGGAAAGCAATATGATGAACTAGATGCATGGTGCAGCACACTCTAAATGGTTATTCTAGAATGCTCACCTCCACTGACATGGTCACTTGGTGAGGTTCCTCATCTTCATCCTGGCATGTAGGTATCAGGAAATGAATGAGGATTTCTTTTTGTTATAGTTTTGTTTTGATTTTTTGAGAAAGAGTCTTGCTCTGTCTCCCAGGCTGGAGTGCAGTGGTGCCATCTCGGCTCACTGCAACCTCCACCTCCCGAGTTCAAGCGATTCTCCTGCCTCAGCCTCCTGAGTAGCTGGGATTACAGGCATGCACCACCAGGCCCGGCTAATTTTTATATTTTTTAGTGGAGATGTGGTTTTGCTATGTTTCCCAAGCTGGTCTTCAGTTATCCGCCCAACTCGGCCTCCCAAAGAGCTGGGATTACAGGTGTGAGCCACCATGCCCGACCAGGATTTCTAATTCACATAGGATTTCTCCAATCCTGAAGATTTCCTGAGACTTTTGAAGGCTACCTGGCCTTAGTCCCTTACATGGGTATGGTTATCCCCCAGGTGTGGTTTTTCAACATAAGCACATCTGGTTGTTACCCCTGAACTAGATTACAACTGACTGACAGAGCCATGGCAACCTTTGCACGACTGCAAGGGAATGTTGAGGCCAGGGTGGCTATATGGGTCCTGGTTATGTTGAATCCCTAACTTGCAGTGTGGCTGCATTTGGAGATGGTGTTTTTAAGGAGATAATGAAGGTCAAATGATGTAATAAAAGTGAAGCCTTAATCCAACAGGATTAGTGTCCTTATAAGAAGAGAAAGAGACACCAGAGATCTCTTCTCTCTCTCTCTCTCTCTCTCTCAGAGCACACATACAGAGAAAAGGCCATGTTAGGGCATGGTAAGAAGGCAGCCCTCTGCAAATCAAGGAGAGACCTCACCAGAAACCAACCCTGTCAACACCTTGATCTTGAACTTCCATTCTCCAGAATGGTGAGAAAATAAATTTCTGTTGTTTAAGCCACCAGTCTGTGGCATATGATTACCACAGCTCTAGCACACTAATACAGTTTTCTTCGACCACTCTGGTCCCGAAACTCCAATATCTACCCCATCACCTCCCCATATCCCTCTTCTCCCAGCCCCTTACCTTGCCTTACATCCAAGGCACATTTAACTTTATCAGGACTGCCACGGCTAGCATGTATAAACTAGCTGCTGCCAGGAAGGCAAAGTAGCTTAAATGGAGACCTTTTTAATGTAGTCCTGAAAATGAAACCTGAGTGACAAAATGTACTTGATAGCTACACAAAGCTGTTCTCTTCCAATAGCATCTGCTTTAGAGTAATGCTAAAATTTCTCTAATACATAACTTCGAATAAAAGTTGTAGAATCATTATCTAGTGCCTTTCCTAGACTTAAAACAAAACCTTTTCTAATTAGCTGCTAACAATGTGCCAAGAAACATTTTCCTCTCTTTAGCCATCAGTGAGAGCTGTTCAAGGTCTTCTAATATGAAGTGTGGATATGAGGTGTGGGAGACCAAGATTTTCTCTAATAAACCAAAGTGGAAGAAAGAAAGAAGCTAAAACAATGGGAGACATTAGCTATGGAAAAACAATGAAAGTAGAGGACTACAATGTGAAAATAAAAAGCATGTTCATCCCTTCAATTTAAATTTAAAAATTGCCTTTGAGGATAATGTAAAACATTAATCAGTAACCTTGGGGAACAAAAAGCATGTTCAACTTTGATATTTCCATCTCTATCATGTAACTCAATGATTAACAAAAAACAGAACATATTTACTTTTTGGAGATATGAGAAAAAAGACAATGACCGCTCTCCACCCTTGGCATCCCCAAGACCAAGACATTGATGTATAAGAGAAAACCATTCTCCCAAGGGTCAATGGGATCACAGTCTCTTTCCTCCCTCTAAGGCCCAGGAGATGAGAAGCCCAGCTCCCTACAGCCTACTGTACTCCAGGATTCAGAGTCAGAGTCATTCAGATGTTTGGGGTCCAGCTTTGTGCACCTGCCTGCCTGGAATGAGCTGGCTCTTCCAATGGGTCAGAGGATGCTGGAATGTCAGTGCTCATACCCTACTTACTGACGAGAAAACTGAGCCTGAGGGGAGAAATCACATGACCTGTACAAGCTTAGACTGTCCACTCAGTGACAAGAGCAGAAAGGGGGCCTGTATCCCAGGTCACCACTCTCCTGTGAGTACCTCAGACCACCTCAAACACTAAGTGATGTAAGCTGGCCCCTTTCAGAAAGAGAGGCTGAAAGCCATCAGCAAATCTATTAGAAACTAATTCTTTTGTTCTTCATGTTCTTCATGAACTCAATTTTTTTTTTTTTTTTTTTGAGATGGCATCTCACTCTGTCACCAGGCTGGAGTGCAGTGGCACTATCTTGGCTCACTGCAAACTCTTCCTCCCAGGTTAAAGCAATTCTCCTGCCTCAGCCTCCCAAGTAGCTGGGATTACAGGCACCCACCACCATGCCCAGCTAATTTTTGTATTTTTGGTAGAGACAGGGTTTCACCGTGTTGGCCAGGCTGGTCTTGAACTCCGGACCTCAAGTGATCCATCCACCTCAGCCTCCCAAAGTATAGGGATTATAGGCGTGAGCCACCATGCCCAGCACAATTTTTATTTTAAAAAGGAAAATCCTCAGCATTGATATGGAAAACCAAATAATATATACATAACAACAAGATCTGACTGAAAACTTTCTCCAAAAGCCAAATACCATCTTATATATTTTTTTATTTCTTCTGTATGGCTGGTCCATAATCTACCTGATTACTCTATCATCTAATTTGAAAGCTAAGAGGAAACTAATACCAGAGACAGACAAAAAGTCCAGTCATCCAGTTTAAAAAACTAAAACCCAGCTGCACAGCTTCCCTAAGAGAAAATCATTCGCTCTGAACTTGTATAAACCTATGAAATAAATAATTATTCTCTAAATGTTCACCCAACTGTATCTGGGTGCTTTCTAACTTATAAAAATCCAGCCATTAGTATTCACAGTTAAAGTTTATTGAAGCCTCACTTTCCAATTCAGTTTGTAAATTATTGAGCAACAGTGTGTGGCCGCTTCTGTTTTACAAGCCATTAGTGGCAGCCCTTGTCTGCTTCCTGAGGTTCAATGATGAAGGTCAAGTAACCCTAGGGACCCTCAAAGCACAACAGTAACCAGGTCTGATACATGGCTTTCAGATCTGCCTGGCATTCATAGCTAGAACATTTTTAACAGTGAGATATTACTGGATTTTAGAGAGATTTTAGATTTTTAGATTAGACTATACATCTTTTATTGTTAAATAAGAAATTATTGTCAAATAAAACATGGAAAACAGTATAATGTACTTTAAAGAAAACATTTATATGGAAGTCAGGATACTTGTATCCTACATTATTTCTACCCCTTCTTCCTACTTGTATGATCTATGTCAAGTCATTTTACTTCTCTGGGTCTCAAACTCTTCAAATGTTCAATGAGAGGGCTAGACCAGGTGACCACAGGCTTCCCTGACCTAGGAATTTTCTACTTGCCTGTCATAATTTGACATGTTCCCTTTGCTCAACTGCTCCAGATGCAGTCTTTGTAGTTTTCCTTCTCTATGTTGTTTGTAGAAGAACTGTAAATGACAGGATACACCATAAACAACAGGATGTACTGATAGAAGACTTTCACATTAGTAAAGATGATTTGGCTCATTTTCAGGAAATTTTTGTTTTTTAAGATGTGCACATGTACCCTAAAACTTAAAGTATAATTAAAAAATAATAATAATAATTAAAAAAAAAGATGTGCTGAGTCCTTTTTACAGATTGATCTTTGAAATTTAGAAGTCAAAGGCTAGTTTAAAGTGGTCTGTTTTCATTCACATGACTCTTCCTCAATTCCCTTCTAGATTCGGCTTCCCTTTCTTGTTCTATTCTTGGGAAAACAATGTCCATCCTTTTGGTTGACGGCATTTGTGAAGAAAGCAACATGCAATATTATGTCAGTCCTCTGAACAGTCTCTAAAAGAGCTCACAACAGCTTCAAAGAAATGAGCAAGTAATCTGAAAGTATTTATTGAGCACCTTACATGGCTCAGCCCTGTGGACAATATGAAGGGGGATGTCACAAACATGATCATTGTTTGGTTACTGTCAAAGTGCTTACATCCTAATGTGAGAGATAAGTAACATGTGAAACCCATGTAAACAACAGTGTCTAGCGCAATGTTTATCAGAGAAAGTGTTCAACAAATGCCTCTCATGCTGTCCTGAACTACACAATTTTTAGGAAAAAGAGTAATGCCATATTTTTGGTACAATTAGTAATGCTCTAACTGTGACTAGAATGGTTTCCTCGGTTTGGGTACTACTCTTTTAAGATATCCCTTAAATGAAAGAGAGAGAGAGAGAGAAGAGGGAAAGACCAGAGGAAGAAGAAAGAGAGGATAAAAACTGGAGATCATGATATACAAAGATTAGTTGAAGAAACTGGAGCTGCTGAACCTGAAAAAGGGTCTTGGAAATAGAACACCGATAATTATATGCAAATATTTGAAGGGCTGATTGGCATGTGTTAAAAAATGAAGGAGATATGTTTCCATTATGTATAAGAAGGCAAAACTAAATCCAATGTTAAAACATAAATTAAGGTAGTATCAGGGAACAGTGCAGTGGTGAAAAAAGGATATAACTCCACATACCACTATTGGCTTTCCACAATAGTCCAATGAGCTATATTACTTTGCCAGAGGCAAAAAAAAAAAATGTGTTTCACCTATTGGAAATATAATGTTATTACATTAAATGAATTATACAAATTGTGAAATATACATCACAAATGTATGTTTTCTCTGATCATGAGCAAATAATACTACAATAAAGATAACAATTTAAAACAATAAAAACCTAAGGACTCCATTGCATAGATCATATTTGATCTGTCACCTGTGATTCCACACACTCTGACCTGATTTTAGTTACCCTAAGTCTCTGGGAGAGAAGTTATGAATGAGCCACCATTAAAGGAGTGTTAAAGTAGAAAGTGGGAATCTTGTCAATTGTTTATGCATCTCTCTATTAGAGATGCTCTGTGGGTCTCTAATCTTGGATTTTATCATTGTAAGTGCTATATTGCTATAGATTATAAGAGAAGAAGTCAACAGAGTGAAGTTAAGGAAGTTTTCATCAACTGGAATTTTGTGGATGTAAAAAGACTTAGAAAAGAAGGGATAAAATGGCTACATAAATCGAAGGAAGCAAGATTGCAACATGAGCAGCAATAAGAATAAACACCAAGCTTGCCGAAACCTGGTGGAGGCAAGTCAGCAAAGCTGACCTGACCAGCTGTAGTAGAGCAGTTGTCAATGGGGCTGGGAGGTAAGGTGAAGCCACGTTAGAAAATAGAAGCAGACAAGTATGGCAAAAATTTAGTTCAAGAAAGGGTTAATATAAATATATAATAACACCAAGACCTCTATTAATAAATAGACAAAATGTGTGAACAGTTGAACTCACATGAGGGAAAAACAAATAAGAAAGAAACATATGGAAATACATTCAACTTTACAACTCAAAATTAAGAAACAGAACTGCAAATGAAAACCAGAATTCAACTGTTAAATTAGCCAAAATTTTACAGAGGAAACCCAATCTAGCCAAGTTTCAGGAGAAATTATTGTATTTATACATGGTTTATAGCATTGAAAATTTGTATAAGACTTTTGAAGGGGAATTTAGTAATACACTCATGCAAAACCACTATATATATATGTATTATATATTTAATATATACCGTGTGTTCAGACAATACATTATATATATTCAGTATATATATATGTATATATATATACACACACACACATATACTGTGTGTGTGTGTATTGTGGATTCATTGTGCTAACTTTCATGTTAGCAGAGAAAGCTAGAATTTGTTTAAAAAAACTAGGGCTGATTTCATTTTGGGGACTCATCACCAACATGGTTTGTAGGCAGTCCCCTCACCCCAGCTGCAGGGCCATGTCACAGCTCTGGGGACTTCACACACCTAGGCTAGAACTAGAGGTGTCTACCATATCACACTTTAAGATTTCTTTATTAACTATTTAATAATGCCATGTATTTTTGTAAGGGTAGATTATTTGTTTAAAACATCTGTTCACATTCTATATTCCAATAAAATCTTATTGGTATTGGTGACATACATACTTCGATATATATTATAATTATATATAATATATACCTATATATAATAATCATATATAATATATACCTATATATAATAATCATATATAATATGTTAGTTTTATATATGATTATAATATATATCAGTATATTATAATATATGATTATAATATATATCAGTATATTATAATATATGATTATAATATATATCAGTATATTATAATATATGATTATAATATATATCTGTATATTATAATATATGATAATATATATCAGTATATTATAATATATGATTATAATATATATCAGTATATTATAATATATATCAGTATATTATATGATTATAATATATATCAGTATATTATAATATATGATTATAATATATATCAGTATATTATAATATATGATTATAATATATATCTGTATATTATAATATATGATTATAATATATATCTGTATATTATAATATATGATTATAATATATATCTGTATATTGTAATCATATATTGTAATATATATTGATATATAATATATCTCATATTATCATATATATTGATATATATAATATATCAATATATCAATATATATAATATATATAATATATTATATATTATATATTATAATATATTATATATTATATATAATATATAATATATTATATATAATATATTATATATTATATATAACATATAATATATTATAATATATAATATATTATAATATATAATATATTATATATTATATATCGATATATATAATCATATATAACATATATTGATGTATATTATAATCATATATTATATACTGATGTATAATTATATATAATATATTCATGTATATTATAATTATATATAATATATATACATACACAGAGACAGATAGGTAGATAGATAGACAGATAGACAAAATGATCATAACCAATAGCCCATTAATCCTACCACTTTGAATTTCTCCAAAAAAAAAAAATGAAAAGAAAAAAGGCATTTGAACAACATTCATAGCCATATTACATTAAGAAAAAACTGGAAATAGTCCAATCATTCCCTGTTATTGGACATTTAATTATGAACATAATCAATGAAGCATTATGTGACCATAACAAGCAAAATAGGGAAACTACGAAGTAACATGAAACTGTTTATGACCTATTAAGTAAAATGTAGAAAACAAAAGTGTGTGCACACTTATTTTCACATGTACGGCCATGTAAAAATAACTCATGAATGGATAGATTGGAACATAAATACTAAGAAAGGAAAGACAATCTTATTAGAATATTGGTTAAGTGTGATTTCTTTTCCTTGTTCTCTTTCAATGTTGCCTTCACACTTTTAATAGTGTTTTAATAAATCCTTTTTTTGTTACAGAATTTTAATGTTTTTTCATGGCAATAATATGATAAAAACAGGATCTATTGAAGAATTAAGAGCCTACGGTTATAAAATCTAAATAGGAGGCTGGTAACAGATTCCCGGCTGGAAGTGACATGGAGTTAGATCAGGGTGTGGAGTGAGAATAGAGAATAAAGGATAATAATGGAGGTATTTTGGGGAAAAATTGCGATAACAGGGTTGTTTGATCCTGGCAGAAAAATGAACAAACCCATCTTTCTAGCTTTGATGAATCATAACTAGCCTAGATGCCACAAGTTTATTTATTTATTAACAAACATTTATTGAGCACCTACTATGTACCAAGCTCATAGTTCTAGGCACTGAACCTTAAAGATAGATTCATATTCTCATGGAGGTTACTATAACCCATTTCTGTAAAAGAAGACAATAAAAAGATACATGACAGATTAGATAAATAGAAGATTGATAGATTTTAAAATATCATATGATGTTAATGATTAAAATAGGATAATTTGTCTGAGAGTGACTTGATAGCTACTGTATACTGGGTGGTCAAAGGAAGACTTTTGGGGCTATATCATTTGACATGATCTGAATGTCAAGGAGGGGAAGCTATAAAATAAATATATGGGGTGGGAAGGAGGTTGAGAACAGAGAGATAGTCTCTGTTAGAGAGAAACTCTAGTACACAGGTCTAGATTTAAGTCTAGTGTTTCTGAGAAGTCAAAAAAAAAAAATCAGAGTAGACAGCACAGTGGTCCAAGAAGAAAGAGGCATAGATTGAGATAGGATATAAATCTTGCAAGGTTAAGGAATTTGAATTTTAAGCTAAATGGAAGTGGAAAGCAGGAGAGATATATAATTTGATGTACTTTTTTATAATCTCAGTTTTTATTTTAGTTTCAGGGGGTATGTGTGCAGGTTTATTACATGGGTATTTTCATGACACTGAGGTTTGGAGTATGAATAACTCCGTCACCCTTGGTGTGAGCATAGTACCCAATAGGCAGATTTCAGCCCTTGTCTCCTCCCTCTCCCTTGCTTCTAGTAGTCTCCAGTGTCTGTTGTCCCATCTTCATGTCCATGTGTACCCAGTGTTTAGCTCCCACTTCCCACTTCTAAGTCAGGACACGCAGTATTTGGTTTTCTGTCCCTGCATTAATTTGCTTAGGATAATGGCCTCCAGCTGCATTCACAATGCACATTAAAAAAAAAAAAAAAAAAGACGACTAGCTCTGTGTAAAGAATAGATTGCATGCACAAGAGGGGAAACAAGGATTCCAATTAGAAAGCCGTAGTATTGGCCCAGGAGAGAAGCAAAGACCCACACCCTTGTCCTGAACAAGGGGGATGATAGCGAAAATACAGATAAGTAAACCAGACAGAGTCTATACTAAATATAGAGTTTACAGAGCTTCTGATAGATTAAGTAGCGGGCCTCTGGAGGGATATGAGTCCTGGAGAGAAGGGGAAATGAAAAAGGAAGATTCAAGGATCAGTTAGATGGAAAGGTGCAGTGAAGGAAATGCTGCCAGAGTTGATGCCATGAGTCAGCACTGGTAGCAGCAGATATAGGACAGATCAGCTTAGGAAGACCTTATTGTTCAGTGGATCTACTCAAATTCATCATTCCAGTGTGCTTTCTTACTGAGAAAAGGAAAAGCACTATTTTCCACCAGAAAGAAGTTTGGGTCATGAGTTAATTACAGAGACCTTGAATTGTAACCAGACTACAGCTTCTGGGAAGGATATAACCTGGTTTATGTAATGTTTGAAGCAACAAGGTCTAGAAATCCATCAGCCTTTTACACATGACCTAATTGATCCCCACACAAATCAATCAAGCTTCTGATATCCATATTGACAAGCCATAGAAAATAAGTCTTCTTGTGTTTGTTTTTTCTTTATTCCCATGGCAAATGCTCAGGCCAAAGGGAAAAACTTAAAGACCACCATGACAGTAGTTTTCTCATATTTCCATTTTTAAAAGGACACTGAGATTTCACAGTAGCCTGAAATTCTCAGTAAATTTCATTGGAACTACTCCGTGCTTCATTTGGGGAACTCAGTTCCCTGCACAATAAACTTTTAAGTGCTTATAGAAAACAGCACTTAAATAAAATATCAAGACTAAAACAACCTATCCTGCCTACCACTTTACATAACATTTGGAAAGTCATTCTGAATTCCTACCATAAAACTTGTTTTTTAAAAAAACTGTTCTAAAACATCAGGAGTAAAAGAACACTTAGCAAAGCTGCTCTATAAATTGATTTTATATTGGGACATGCAACTTAACGATCAAGACAACCCATGGAGTATTTTCAAGAGTTTTTTTTTCAACTTTGAGATTTTAACCAGGCAAATGGCTGAATAAAGAGACTCAAAAAAAAAAATGTCATTGGTTCAAACCCAACCCAACTCAACTGGGAAGCAATTACCATCTGCTAATCTTCATGAAGTGTAATGGGGGGCTAAATTCAATTTTTAGCAAGGAAAATAAACATCTACAATGTTTGGGAGTCTAAACGGGGGCCTAAGGATTAATTTAGTTATTTCATGTTAGGATTGATACACATCAAAATGCTAGGTTGTAGGATTGACTGAGAATTTTCACCTATGACACATAAGAGCACCAAAAGAATCAAGGAAATCTACATGCATTTAGTATATAAGTACATCTATGTACGTGTGTTTATACATATATATATGTATATGTGGCTATATGCATATTTATTTTGAAATATTATAGATCTTAATACTTGTGAGCAACCTCAAAGATTCACAACATATAGTTTTGTAGCTCCTTAGCACTCTGAGAGAACACATCTCCAGACAGTCAAAAATCCCAGTCACAGTGCACCTTTCACATATAATTTCTCCCCAAAAAGTACTAACATATAAATGAAAATTTGAAACAATTTCATTGGTCCTTCACAGAAATATTTACATGCGCTTCTGGCTTTTTCAACATTTTATTTTCATTTCCATTAAGAGTTGTGTGTCTCCTGTGCATATCCTCACACCACAAGTTAACTGCCTTTTCCACTTTCATTGAAGTTTAATGCCTCCCCTGTTGAACAATTCTTGTGCTGGCTGGAGCAATGGCTGGAGTCATTTCATGCAATGCCTTTGTTATATTGGCCTAACAAAATTAATAAACTTCACGGACCTTCAGAGTCCTAATACTCAGCGAAGCCCAGAAGTTACATCTCCAAGGGCCCCCTGTAATATACCATTTTGCTAAGTTGGTAGCTTAGCTCAGGCACATTACATTGGAAGGAATAGTTTAGCCAGTGAGTAAGATCAGCTGATTGCTCAGTCTTTTCTCTATACTGTGGCTTTTTGTTTTCTTTGTCTTTAGTAGCAAAAGTTTAATTTTGCTGCAATTTATGGTACAAAAATCTATTATAGTACTGTTTGAATATCTACAGGTTCTGGAAGTCTTAGGAATCCATTCCCAGGAAATGTCAAGGATCTGCAGATGCCAGTGTATTCTACTCTCCTAACAGCTGCCTGGAAGTCAGCTAAGAAGGTGATGGCAGGGGGAATGCTTAGATTTCCAAATGTGGGTGACCGGAAGAATGGACACGCTATTACTGAGAAGAGAGAATGTTATGAGAGGAAATGAAAATTTCAGTTTTAAACATCCTGATTTTAAGGTCTGTTGTGACAGATAAAATATATGCCACAGGAAAATGGATCTTGAGGGCAAGACTAAGAAATGAACTTTAAATGTGGACATCTTCAGCATAGAGGTAAAGGCTGAAGTCGGATGGAGGGTGTAGAAAATGGCTCTTCCAAAAGTCCACCAGATCGTGCAAACCCAGACCTTCACTGAACCTCATGTGTGGCAAGGGCTGGAGTTCACAGACTCAGTCACCGTTCAAGATGTCAATTTTCTATTTACTACTTTTCTTTGTATTACACATTTTTTTTTCCTGATGACGCTTGAACTGTATCTTCACACACTAAAGCGATCAAATGGAACAAAACAACCCTTTAGTTGACCATTTCAGCCATGTGTAAGCTAAGTCTGGAATAGGCCCCTCTGTGAGGGTGATACAGTCAGCGTCCCCATTCAGGGAATCGCCACATCCCTATTTAGCCGCCATTACAGGGACCTTCATTTTGCTCCAGAGTTTAGCAGAATTTTATTCAACTGCCAAAATACACAAACCAGTTTCTGAAAGCAAAATGTTAATTCATCAAGTCATGTCTTATTTCCTTTTCTTTACGGGAAGGTTTTTCATTACAAATTCAATTTCTTTAATAGATACAGGGCTATTTAAATTTTCTATTCTGTTTTCTTTTATTAAGAGTGGGAGTACAATGACATCAACTTGAGGAAAAGCTTATATTTTTATAATATCTAACAATAAAGGAGAAAAGGCTTTCCTTACAAGAAACCTTTTGTTTAAATCTTCCGTTTCTGTTGAAAACTAAGCCACCATGAATGTGAAGTCCAAAACTGTTTGTCTTTCCTTTTAATACAACACAGATGGATGCTGGGCCTCTCTGAGGCCATGCGGGGGAGCAGCGTTTCAGTTGGAAAGGTCACATCAGAATTAAGTTGGTTTCAGGAAAATGAAACCAAATGAAAACTTTATGTCCACACACTCGCTCTTCCAAAACCAATTTTAAGCTCTTCCATAAAGACAGAATCAGGCATAGAATCAGAGCAGTGTTACCTACCACAGGCTCTGCTGCTCATAATCTGGAAAGATGCACCGATTCACTGCCTGGAAAACTCCTCCATTTGTCACCTTTAGTTCTTTCACCAGCCACTCTGTGCCTCACTCTATACAAAGTGCTCTGTGAAGGCTAATGAAATTAATTAATTAATTAAATTGCTATTATGTTTTCCTACTTGCCGATTCTCCCAGAAAGGTATAAATTTTCAAAGTTTTAGCAATTAATAAAAGCTCTTTGGTCTGTATCTAATTTAGTATAAAACACATCAGGTGTGAACAATTCTTACTACCTATGTAAGTTGGGAGCAATAACTTCTGCTGTAAAATATATATATATTTTTAATATATAATTATATATTAAAAAATATATAATATATTATAATTATATATTAAAATATATATAATATATTATAATTATATATTAAAATATATATAATATAATTATATATTAAAATATATATAATATAATTATATATTAAAATATATATAATATATTATAATTATATTAAAATATATATGTTATAATTGTATATTAAAATATATATAATATATTATAATTGTATATTATAATATATAAATATAATCTATATATTTTATATATATTATATATATTTTATATATAATATATTACATAATATATATAATATATTACATAATATATAATATACCATATTATATTATATAATATATTATATATAATATATTATATGATATAATATATAATATATTATATATAATATAATATTATATTATATATTATAATGTAATATATTATATACATATATATTATACATATATATACATATATATAATATATTATATAATATATAATATAATAATATATTATATATCATATAATATAATAATATATTATATATCATATAATATAATAATATATTATATAACATATAATATAATAATATATTATATAATATATAATATATTATATAATATATAATATATTATATAATATATAATATTATATAATATATAATATATAATATTATATATTATATAATATTATATATATTATATAATATATAATATATATTATATATAAATATATATATTTTTATATATATACGATATATATATATATATAGTGGCAGGCCAGGCGCAGTGGCTCATGCCTGTAATCCCAGCACTTTGGGAGGCTGAGGTAGGCGGATTACCTGCAGTCAGGAGTTTGAGACCAGCCTGACCAACATGGTGAAACCCTGTCTTACTAAAAATACAAAAAAATTACCCGGGTGTGGTGGCGCATGCCTGTAATCCCAGCTACCTGGGAAGCTGGGGCAGGAGAATCGCTTGAACCCAGGAGGTGGAGAGGGCAGTGAGCCGAGATCACACCATTGCACTCCAGCCTGGGCAATAAGAGCAAAACTCCATCTCAAAAAAAAAAAAAAAAAAAAACCACAGTGGATTTGACCTATGGTAAACCAACCCTATGATGTAACCATCACACAAAGGATTTAGAGACAATTAATTTTGCCATTGAAGTGTTTTGATGTGAAGCCATGACATTTATGGAATTTCTTCAAGAATTTATCCTGTGGGGAATTAGACATTTAGCATTTTCCATTTTTATAGACAAATAGGAATATTTTCTATCATTTATCCTAAAATTGCCTTTTTATTCAATTGTTCGAGAATTTGTATAAATTCATTCATATTCCGCTTGTCTGGACTCATTCTGTAATGTCATCAACTGTTATGATAGCAGGTAGAAGACTTGAAGTCAGGTCATGGATCTTCCACTTAGTAACTATGGATTTTTGTTCAGTCACTCCATGACTCTAAGCCTCAGCTTTCTTGTCTGTAAAATAGACCAAATATGACCTACACTTCACAAGAATGTTGTGGGCGGGTGGGAGAGGTGGTGTCTGGGAATACCAACATCAAAAGACTTTGGAAACTGTAAAACCTTCCACAAGTTGAGCCCTCTGTACTTCACACAGCTCTAATATACTCTTCCTGGATTTCCTCTATGAGAACTGGTACTCTAAAAGACATACAATTGGAGGATAATCCCTTCTTTTTTTAACTTTCATTTCAGATTCAGGAAGTATATGTACAGGTTTGTTAACTGGGTATATTACACAATGCTGAGGTTTGGGTCCAAATAATTAGTACCCAGTAGTTTTTCAACCCTTTCACCCAACCCCATAATCCCCAGTTTCTATTGTTGCCATCTTTATGTCCGTGAGTGCCCAACATCTAGCTCCTGCTTCTGAGTGAGAACATGAAGTATTTGGTTTTCTGTTTCTGCATTAATTTGTTTAGGATAATGGCCTCCAACCATATACACGTTGCTGCAAAGAACACGATTTCATTCTTTTTATGACTGCATGGTATTCCATGGTGTATATGCACTACATTTTCTTTATCCAGTTCACCGTTGATGGGCACCTAGATTGATTCCATATCTTTGTTATTGTGAATAGTGCTGCAATGAACATGCAACACTATTGCATTTGTCTTTTTGGTAGAATGATTTATTTCCTTTTGGATTTATACTCAGTAGTGGGATGATTTATACTCAGTAGGTTGAATGGTAGTTCCAAGTTCTTTGAGAAATCTCAAAACTGCTTTCCACAGGGGCTGAACTAATTTACATTCCCAACAACAGTATATAAGCATTCCCTTTTCTCTGCAGCCTTGCCAGCATCTGTTGTTTTCTGACTTCTTTTATTATTATTATTATTTTTTTTTTTTTTTGAGACAGAGTCTTGCTCTTCACCCAGGCTGGAGTGCAGTGGCATGATCTCAGCTCACTGCCGCCTCCGCCTCCCGGGTTCAAGCAATTCTCCTGCCTTGGCCTCCTGAGTAGCTGGGGTTACAGGCACATGCCACCACGCCTGGGTAATATTTGTATTTTTAGTTGAGGTAGTGTTTCACTACATTGGCCGGGCTGGTCTCGAACTCCTGACCTCAAGTAATCCACCCACCTCAGCCTCCCAACCAGCAAATCTTGTGAGACTTATTCACTACCATGAGAACAGTATGGGGAAACCACCCCCATGATTCAATTATTTCCCACTTGGTCCCTCCCACAACATGAGGGAATTATGGGAGCTACAATTCAAGATGAGATTTGAGTGGCGACACACGGCCAAACCATATCATCCAGCTGATTTTTGTATTTTCCTGTAGAGATGGGGTTTTGCCATGTTGGCCAGGCTGGTCTCAAACTCCTGACCTCAGGTGATCCACCCACCTGGGCCTTCCAAAGTGCTGTGATTATAAGCATGAGCCACCACGCCCAGCCTGTTTTCTAACTTTTTAATAATAGCCATTCTGACTGGTGTGAGTTTATATATCATTGTGACTTTGATTTGCATTTCTCTGATGATTCGTGATGTGGAGTATTTTTTCATTTATTTGTTGGCTGCTTGTATGTCTTCTATTTGAGAAGTGTCCACGACTTTTGCCCATTTTTTAATGGGGTTGTTTTTTGCGTAATTGTTTAACTTACTTATACGTTCTGGTTATTAGATATTTGTTGGATGCATAGTTTGTGACATTTTCTCCCATTCCATAGGTTGTCTGTTTACACACTGTTGATAGTTTCTTTTGCTGTGCAGAGGCTCTCTCATTTAATTATCTCCCAATTGACAGTTTTTGCTTTTGTTGCAATTGCTTTTCAGGACTTAGTCATAAATTTGTTCCCAAATCCAATGTCCAGAATGGTGTTTCCTAGATTTTCTTCTAGAATACTTATGGATTGAGGTCTTACATTTATATCTTTAATTCATCTTCAGTTAATTTGTGTATATGGTGAAAGGTAGTATTCTTGTTTCATTCTTTTACATATGGCTAAGCAGCTATTTCAGTACCATTTATTAAATAGGGAGTCCTTTCTCCACTACATATTTTTGTTAACTTTATCAAAGATCAAATAGCTATAGGTATGCAGCTTTATTTCTGGGTTCTCTACTCTGTTCCATTGGTCTGTGTCTGTTTTTGTACCACTACCATGCTGTTTTAATTACTGTAGCCTTATAGTATAGTTTGGCATTGAGTAATGTGATGCCTCGGGCTTTGTTCTTTTTGATTAGCGTTGCTTTGGTTATTTGGGCTCTTCTTTGGTTTCATATGAATTTTAGAATAGTTTTTTCAGGTCCTGTGAAAAATGACATTGGTAGTTTGATAGGAATAAGACAGCAGTGAATCTGTAGATTGCTTTGGGCAGTATGGCCATTTTAACAATATTGATTATTCCAATCCATGAGTGTAGAATGTTTTTCCCTTTGTGTCATCTATTATTTCTTTTGGCAGTGTTTTGTAGTTATCCTTGTAGAGATCTTTCACCTCCCTGGTTAGCTGTGCTCCTAAGTATTTTGTTTTGTGGCTATTTTAAATGGGATTGCATTCTTGATTTGACCCTCAGTTTGAATGATATTGGTGTATAGAAATGCTACTAATTTTTGTAGATTGATTTTGTATCCTGAAACTTTACTGATGTCGTTTATCAGTTCCAGGAGCCTTTTGAGGGAGTCTTTAGGGTCTTCTAGGTATAGAGTCATATTGTCCATGAAGACAGATAGTTTGACTTCTTCTTTTCCCATTTGCATGACTTTTCTTTATTTCTCTTATCTTATTTATCTGGATAGCACTTTCAATACTATGTTGAATAGGAGTGGTGAGAGTGGGCATTCTTGTCTTGTTCCAGTTCTCAAGGAGAATGCTTCCAATTTTTGCCTGTTCAGTATGATGCTGGCTCTGGGTTTGTCATAGATGGCTTTTATTATTTTGAGGTATGTTCCTTTGATGCCCAGTTTCTTCAGGGTTTTTCTCATGAAGGGATGTTTTCACATCCATTGAGATGATCATATAGTTTTTATTTTTAATTTTTTTTATGTAGTGAATCACATTTGTTGATTTGTCTGTGTTGAACGAATCTTACATCCCAGGAATGAAGCCTACTTGATCATGGTGAATTAACTTTTTGATGTGCTGTTGGAATTGATTTCCTAGTATGTTGTGGAGGATCTTTGTGTCTAAGTTCATTAGGGATATTGGCCTATAGTTTTCTTTTTTTGTTGTTGTTGACTCTTTGCCAGGTTTGGATATCAGAGTGATGCTGGCTTCATAGAATGCATTAGGGAGGGGTCCTAGATTTTTGGGAATAGTTTCAGTAGGAATGGTACCAGCTCTCCTTTGTACATCTGGAAGAATTCATCTGTGATTCCATCTAGTCTAGAGTTTTTTTGGTTGGTAGGTTTTTTATTATGGATTCAATTTCAGAACTCAATATTGCTGTTCAGGGTTTCATATTCTACCTGATTCAATATTGAGAGATTGTATGTTTCCAGGAATTTATCTATTTCCTCTAGATTTTCTAGTTTGTATACACAGAGATGTTCATAATAGTCTCTGAGGATCTTTTGTATTTCTGTGGAATCGGTTGTAATGTCACCTTTGTCATTTCTGATTGTGCTTATTTGGATCGTCTCTCTTTTTTCTTTGTTAACCTAGCTAGTATTCTATTGATCCTGTTTATGCTGTGCAAGAATCATCTTTTGGGTTCACTGATGCTTTGTATCACTCTGATTTTAGTTATTTCTTTTCTTCTGCTAGAGTTGGGTTGGGTTTGTTCTTATTTTTCCAGTTCTTCTAGGTGTGATATTAGATTATTAATCTGAGATCTTTCTAACTTTTTAAGGTAGACGTTTAAGTGTTATGAACTTTCCTCTTAGCATTGCTTTTGTTGCATCCCAGAGATTTTGGTATGCTGTGTCTCTGTTTTCATTTATTTCAAAGAATTTGTATATCTGCCTTAATTTAATTGTTTACCCAAAAGTTATTCAGAGCAAGTTGTTTAATTTTCATGTAATTGTGTGGTTTTGAGAGATCTTCTTGGTATTGATTTCTGTTTTTATTCCACTATGGTCTGAGAGTATGGTGGCATGATTTCAGTTTTTTTGAAAATATATTTAGGCTTGCTTTATGACCAACCATGTGTTTCATCTGAGAGTATATTCCAAGTGCAGATGAGAAAAATGTATATTTTGTGGTTGATGGGTGGACAATCAAAATACTAGCAAACCAAACCCAACAGCACATCAACATCTACATTATGTAGATGTCTGTTAGGTCCAACTGGTCAAGTGTCAAGTTTAAGTCCAGAATTTCTTTGTTAGCCTTCTGCCTTGATAATGTGTCTAATGCTGTCAGTGGGGTGTTAAAGTCCCCCACTATGATTGTGTGGCTGTCTAAGTCTTTTTGCAGTTCTAGAAGTACTTGTTTTATGAATCTGGGTACTCCAACTTTGGATGCATATATATTTAGGAACCCTTATTATTATATAATACCCTTGTTTGTCCTTTTTTTACTGTTATTGGTTTAAAGACTCTTTTATCCGATATAAAAATCGTGGCCTCTGCTCTTTTTTGTTTTTCATTTGTGTGGTAGGTCATTCTTCAGCCCTTGATTTTGAGCCTATGGGTGTCATTATGTGTGAGATGAGTCTCTTGGAGACAGCAGATAGATGGGTCTTGTTTTTTTATTCAACTTGCCACTCTGCCTTTTAAGTGGGTTATTTAGACCATTTACATTCAAGGTTAATATTGATATGTGCGATTTTGATCCTATCATGAAGTTATTAGCTGGTTGCTTTGTAGTTTCTATTATGTGGTTGCTTTATAGGGTCTGTGAACTATGTATTTAAGCGTATTTTTCTCTCAGGAATGCCAACAGTTTGTATGTTTGGTCACTTTACAAAATCCCATATTTCTCAAAGACTTACATCACTTTTTAAAAATATTTTTTCTTTAATTTTATCTGACTGAGTTGGTGCAAAGGACCAGTCTTCAAGTTCCAAAATTCTTTCTTCTGCTTGGTCCAGTCTATCAAAATTTTCAACTGTATTATGAAATTCTTTAAGTGAGTATTTTAATTCCAGAAGCTCTAATTGATTTCTTGTTAAGATGTTTATCTCTTCCTTTAGAAGTTTTTTTCTGTTGATTTTCAACCTTATCTTGGATCTCATTGAGCTCCCTTCCAATCCATGATTTAGATTCTTTATCTGTTATTTCTGAGTTTCCATTTTGGTTAGGGACCATTGCTGGAGAGCTAGTGCAATCCTTTGGTGATGTCACTACATTCAGATTTTTCATGGTGTCAGAATTCTTGCACTGTTCCTTCTCATCTGAAGATACTTGCCCTTCTAATTTTCATAATCATTTTCATGCAGGTAAGACTTTTCCTTTTTTTCTTTCTCTATATTTTTTTCCCTTTCCCTCCCTCTGTAGGGAGCGGAACTGTAGAGAATGCTGTGTAGGATCTTTTGGCTTTGCTTCTATAGCTCTGTGCACTTCTTTCGCCAGGTTTTATATTGGGCTGTGCAGTCTGACCTACAAGCCAGTAGATGGTGCTTACAGCTAAGAGTGGACTATGGCCAATGCAGCTGGGTATATAATTGATCCTTGTTTACGGGCAGAAGCTCTTCGTTGTCTCAGGCAATGGGCTGATCCATGGAGTAGACAGTGATCTGAGCTCCCTGCTCAGCCCTGGGGGAACGGAGACCATGACAGGTAGGGCAGAACCAGACAGGTTCGCCTACAGATCCAGAAAGGGCAGACACAAGCACCAGCACCAAGGGAGAATCCAGTGCCAGCCACCAAGCTCCCAGTACTGTGCCTAGGCGTGGAACTGGGAAACTCCACTGGCCTCAAGATCTCTACATGGGGATGGGAGCAGCCTAAACTCCTAAAATCTAGGGCAGTGGGTACTGCAAGTGCTTAGAGATCTGCCTGGGCATGCAACAGAGAGGGACCCTCTGCACCAACATCTCTTCACAGGAGGTGTGGGATGACCCAAGCCTGAACCAGGCAAGCAGGTGCTCTGAATGCTTGGAGATCTGCCTGGGCATGTAGCAGAAAGGTCCCCCTGCCCTACACCAGGATCTCTGCACAGGAAAGGTGAGGCAGTTCAGGCTGCTGATTGAAGAGAGCAGGCGCTCCAAATGCCTGGAGATCTACATGGGCATGGAGCAGAGAGGGCCTCCCTGCACTAGGACCTTTGCACAGGAAGTGTGGAGTGGGCCAAGCTGCTGATCCAGATGAGTAGGTGCTCTGAATGCCTGGAGATCTGCCTGGGTGTGGAGCAGAGAGTGCCTCACTGTACTAGGGTCTATGTCCATGAAGGGTGGGGTGGCTCATGCTGTTCCAGGCAACTGAGCATTCCAAATGCCTACATTTCTGCCTGGGGGTGGAGCAGAGAGAGCCCCACTGCACCTCGATCTCAAGGGAGCAGACTGGGACAACCAGCAATGGCACATGCAGACAGGTTCCAGGTTGCCAATCTGGCCCTGCCTGCAAATCTCATCACCGAGGAGAAACTTCAGCCATAGCAGCTCTCCTTCTATCCCTGGCCTGCGATGGAGGAGAGCACCATCCCACAGCCTACTACTGAGGTGCTTTTCACAGTTCTGGCTATGAAGGCCCTTATCCTGCCAGAGAAGGCACTCTAGTCTCTGGCCCAAGACTAAAATGCCAAGCAGCTATGCTGCTAGGTCACCAAAGAATGGCTGACTTTGTATATGCCTAAATTCAAAATGACATCCTGCGGTCAGTCCCAGGTCTGGGGTTAGTGTCTGCAACTTTTCCCTACGTCTTTCCCTCACAGCATCTCCAAGGCACTCACCATATTAGCTCCAGGGCTTTGGAGAAACAAGATGCCCTCCCTCTACCTGGGTTGCTTGGGTCCCCAGTGGAAAGGTGAGTCACAGAGGGAGGCTCACTGCCTCTCTCACATGCTGGCGTTTCAGTCACTTTTATCAGCCAGATGCCATCACAAGGGCTGTTTACCAGTATTCCCAAGGATCTGGGTGTCCTTTACAATTCTGGTGGATTCCCATTTTCCTTCTTGAATTAAAGCTCACAGAGTTGATCTTTATGCACTATCTTGCTATTTTTAAGTGGCTGAAGCACATTAAAAGCCTCCAATCCACTTTTTTTGTCAGCTTGGTCAAAGCTTCCAGAATCTCAGCTCAACTTCTTGTTTATAGCTTCAGTTTTATATTAATAAAATAACATTGAATAATATTATATACTGTTTACTATGTGCCAGACATGACTGTAAGCACTTTATAGATATTAGCTTATTTAAACCTCAGGACAACTTACAAAAGTTTTACAGATAAGGAAACTGAGGTTCACAGAAATGAGTAACTTAATCCAGGTCACAAGGGAGGGGTAGAGCCACATGTGCCAAATGTGCACACAGGCGATCTGGCTTCAGAATTTTTACCATAGCCTCACGTTGGGCAAACTTAAAGGAATGAATCACATTCCATTCTCCAAGTGCCATTTCTTGGATTATAATTTTCTATGTTCTAGCCAGTAATTCACATCTATGAAGCCTCATTAAGACCAAAATTTAAAATATGGAAACATCTTTATAGCCAAAGAAGTTTATTACAATATTAATAATAATGATGGATACTGTATAAAAACTAAATGTTCAATAAGAAGGGAATCTTTTTAAAAAAAATAAGCATCGTTGGAAAAATCTCAGTGGTCAGTTATACCTTCATTTAAAATTATGTTTAAAATAATATGTGAGAGTGGCGGTTCCAACATAGCTGAATAGGAACAGCTCCAGTCTACAGCTCCCAGCGTGAGTGACGCAGAAGATGGGTGATTTCTGCATTTCCAACTGAGGTACTGGGTTCCTCTCACTGGGGCTTGTCAGACAGTGGATGCAGGACAGTGGGTACAGCCCACCGAGCATGAGCCGAAGCAGGGTGAGGCATCACCTCACCCGGGAAGCCCAAGGGGTCAGGGAATTCCCTTTCCTAGCCAAGGAAATCTGTGACAAATGGCACCTGGAAAATGGGGTCACTCCCACCCTAATACTGCACTTTTCCAACAGTCTTAGCAAATGGCACATGAGGAGATTATATCCCACACCTGGCTCGGAGGGTCCCACTCATTGCTAGCACAGCAGTCTGAGATCCAACTGCAGGGTGGCAGTGAGGCTATGGGAGGGGTGCCCACCATTGCTGAGGCTTGAGTAGGTAAACAAAGTGACCAGAAACCTCAAACTGGGTGGAGCCCACCACAGCTCAAGGACGCCTGCCTGCCTCTGTAGACTCCACCTCTGGGGGCAGGGCATAGCCGAATAAAAGGCAGCAGAAACCGCTGCAGACTTAAATGTCCCTGTCTGACAGCATTCAAGAGAGTAGTGGTTCTCCCAGTACGGAGTTTGAGATCTGAGAACAGACAGACTGCCTCCTCAAGTGGGTCCCTGACCCCCGAGTAGCCTAACTGGGAGGCACCCCCCAGTAGGGGCAGACTGACACTCACACGGCTGGGTACCCCTCTGAGACGAAACTTCCAGAGGAACAATCAGGCAGCAACATTTGCTGTTCAGCAATATTCGCTGTTCTGCAGCTTCCGCTGCTGATACCCAGGCAAACAGGGTCTGGGGTGGACCTACAGCAAACTCCAACAGACCTGCAGCTGAGGGTCCTGACTGTTAGAAGGAAAACTAACAAACAGAAAGGACATCCACACCAAAACTCCATCTGTACATCACCACCATCAAAGACCAAAGGTAGATAAAACCACAAACATGGGGAAAAAACAGAGCAGAAAAGCTGAAAATCCTAAAAATCAGAGTGCCTCTCCCCTTCCAAAGGAACACAGTTCCTCACCAGCAACGGAACAAAGCTGGACGGAGAATGACTTTGATAAGTTGAGAGAAGAAGGCTTCAGATGATCAAACTTCTCCGAGCTAAAGGAAGAAGTTCAAACCCAACACAAAGAAGCTAAAAACCTTGAAGAAAGATTAGACAAATGGCTAACTAGAATAACCAATGTAGAGAAGTCCTTAAATGACCTGATGGAGCTGAAAACCATGGCACGAGAACTACATGAGGAATGCACAAGCTTCAGTAGCCGATTCGATCAACTAGAAGAAAGGGTATCAGTGATTGAAGATCAAATGAATGAAATGAAGCAAGAAGAGAAGTTTAGAGAAAAAAGAGTAAAAAGAAATGAACAAAGCCTCCAAGAAATGTGGGACTATGTGAAAAGACCAAATCTACGTCTGATTGGTGTACCTGAAAGTGACGGGGAGAATGGAACCAAGTTGGAAAACACTCTGCGGGATATTATCCAGGAATACTTCTCCAACCTAGCAAGGCAGGCCAACATTCAAATTCAGGAAATACAGAGAATGCCACAAAGATATTCCTCGAGAAGAGCAACTCCAAGACACATAATTGTCAGATTCACCAAAGTTGAAATGAAGGAAAAAATGTTAAGGACAGCCAGAGAGAAAGGTCGGGTTACCCACAAAGGGAAGCCCATCAGACTAACAGCTGATCTCTCCACAGAAACTCTACAAGCCAGAAGACAGTGGGGGCCAATATTCAACATCCTTAAAGAAAAGAATTTTCAACTTAGAATTTCATATCCAGCCAAAATAAGCTTCATAAGTGAAGGAGAAATAAAATCCATTACAGACAAGTAAATGCTGAGAGATTTTGTCACCACCAGGCCTGCCCTACAAGAGCCCCTGAAGGAAGCACTAAACATGGAAAGGAACAACTGGTACTAGCCACCCAAAAACAAGCCAAATTATAAAGGCCATCGATGCTAGGAAGGAACTGCATCAACTAACAGGCAAAATAACCAGCTAACATCATAATAACAGGATCAAATTCACACATAACAATATTAACCTTAAATGTAAATGGGCTAAATGCTCCAATTAAAAGACACAGACTGGCAAATTGGATAAAGAGTCAAGACACATCAGTATGCTGTATTCAGGAAACGCATCTCACGTGCAGAGACACACATAGGCTCAAAATAAAGGGATGGAGGAAGATCTACCAAACAAATGGAAAACGAAAATAGTGGGGTTGCAATCCTAGTCTCTGATAAAACAGACTTTAAACCAACAAAGATCAAAAGAGATTACATAATGGTAAAGGGATCAATTCAACAAGAAGAGCTAACTATCCTAAATATATATGCAACCAATACAGGAGCACCCAGATTCATAAAGCAAGTCCTTAGAGACCTACAAAGAGACTTAGACTCCCACTACAATAATGGGAGACTTTAACACCCTACTGTCAATATTAGACAGATCAATGAGACAGAAGATTAAAAAGGATATCCAGGAATTGCACTCAGCTCTGCACCAAGCAGACCTAATAGACATCTACAGAACTCTCCACCCCAAATCAACAGCATATACATTCTTCTCAGCACCATGTTGCACTTATTACAAAATTGACCACATAGTTGGAAGCAAAGCACTCCTCAGCAAATGTAAAACAACAGAAATTACAACAAACTGTCTCTCAGACCACAGTACAATCAAACTAGAACTCAGGATTAAGAAACTCACTCAAGGCTGGGCACGGTGGCTCACGCCTGTAATCCCAGCACTTTGGGAGGCCGAGGCGGGCGGATCACGAGGTCAGGAGATCGAGACCATCCTGGCTAACACGGTGAAACCCCGTCTCTACTAAAAATACAAAAAATTAGCCAGGCGTGGTAGCGGGCGCCTGTAGTCCCAGCTACTCGGGAGGCTGAGGCAGGAGAATGGCGTGAACCCGGGAGGCGGAGCTTGCAGTGAGCCGAGATCGCGCCACTGCACTCCAGCCTGGGCGACAGAGCAAGACTCCGTCTCAAAAAAAAAAAAAAAAAAAAAAAAACTCACTCAAAACCGCTCAACTACATGGAAACTGAACAACCTGCTCCTGAAAGACTACTGGGTACATAACCAAATGAAGGCAGAAATAAAGATGTTCTTTGAAACCAATGAGAACAAAGACACAACATACCAGAATCTCTGGGACACATTTAAAGCAGTGTGTAGAGGGAAATTTATAGCACTAAATGCCCACAAGAGAAAGCAGGAAAGATCTAAAATTGACACCCTAACATCACAATGAAAAGAACTAGAGAAGCAAGAGCAAACACATTCAAAAGCTAGCAGAAGGCAAGAAATAGCTAAGATCAGAGCAGAACTGAAGGAGACAGAGACACAAAAAACCCTTCAAAAAATCAATGAATCCAGGAGCTGGTTTTTTGAAAAGATCAACAAAATTGATAGACTGCTAGCAAGACTAATAAAGAAGAAAAGAGAAAAGAATCAAATAGATGCAATAAAAAATGATAAAGGGGATATCACCACTAATCCCACAGAAATACAAACTACCTTCAGGGAATACTATGAACACCTCTGCACAAATAAACTAGAAAATCTAGAAGAAATGGATAAATTCCTGGACACATACACCCTCCCAAGACTAAACCAGGAAGAAGTTGAATCTCCAAATAGGCCAATAACAGGCACTGAAATTGAGGCAATAATTAATAGCCTACCAACCAAAAAAAGTCCACGACCAGACAGATTGACAGCTGAATTCTACCAGAGGTACAAGGAGGAGCTGGTACCATTCCTTCTGAAACTATTCCAATCAATAGAAAAAGAGGGAATCCTCCCTAACTCATTTTATGAGGTCAGCATCATCCTGATACCAAAGCCTGATGGAGACACAACAAAAAAAGAGAATTTTAGACAAATGTCCCTGATGAACATCGCTGCAAAAATCTTCAGTAAAATGCTGGCAAACCGAATCCAGCAGCACATCATAAAGCTTATCCACCATGATCAAGTGGGCTTCATCCCTGGGATGCAAGGCTGGTTCGACATATGCAAATCAATAAACATAAGCCAGCATATAAACAGAACCAAAGACAAAAACCACATGATTATCTCAATAGATGCAGAAAAGGCCTTTGACAAAATTCAACAGCCCTTCATGCTAAAAACTCTCAATAAGTTAGGTATTGATGAGACGTATCTAAAAATAATAAAAGCTATTTATGACAAACCCACAGCCAATATCATACTGAATGGGCAAAAACTGGAAGCATTCCCTTTGAAAACTGGCACAAGACAGGGATGCCCTCTCTCACCACTCCTATTCAACATAGTGTTGGAAGTTCTGGCCAGGGCAATTAGGCAGGAGAAAGAAATAAAGGGTATTCAATTAGGGAAAGAGGAAGTCAAGTTGTCCCTGTTTGCAGATGACATGATTGTATATTTAGAAAACCCCATCATCTCAGCCCAAAATCTCCTTAAGCTGATAAGCAACTTCAGCAAAGTCTCAGGATACAAAATCAATGTGTAAAAATCACAAGCATTCCTAAACACGAATAACAGACAAACAGAGAGCCAAATCATGAGTGAACTCCCATTCACAATTGCTTCAAAGAGAATAAAATCCCTAGGAATCCAACTTACAAGGAATGTGAAGGATCTCTTCAAGGAGAACTACAAACCACTGCTCAACGAAATAAAAGAGGACACAAACAAATGGAAGAACATTCCATGCTCATGGATAGGAAGAATCAATAGTGTGAAAATGGCCATACTGCCCAAGGTAATTTATAGATTCAATGCCATCCCCATCAAGCTACCAATGACTTTCTTCACAGAATTGGAAAAAACTACTTTAAAGTTCATATGGAACCAAAAAGGAGCCTGCATCACCAAGACAATCCTAAGCCAAAAGAACAAAGCTGGAGGCATCATGCTACCTGGCTTCAAACTATACTACAAAGCTACAGTAACCAAAACAGCATGGTACTGGTACCAAAACAGATATATAGGTCAATAGAACAGAACAGAGACCTCAGAAATAATACCACACATCTACAACCAGCTGATCTTTGACAAACCTGACAAAAACAAGAAATGGGGAAAGGATTCCCTATTTAATAAATGGTGCTGGGAAAACTGGCTAGCCATACGTAGAAAGCTACAACTGGATCCCTTCCTTACACCTTATACAAAAATTAACTCAAGATGGATTAAAGACTTAAACGTAAGACCTAAAAGCATAAAAACTCTAGAAGAAAACCTAGGCAATACCATTCAGGACATAGGCATGGGCAAAGACTTCATGACTAAAACACCAAAAGCAATGGCAACGAAAGCCAACATTAACGAATGGGATCTAATTAAACTAAAGAGCTTCTGCACAGCAAAAGAAACTACCATCAGAGTGAACAGGCAACCTACAGAATGGGAGAAAATTTTTGTGATCTACCCATCTGACAAAGGGCTAATATCCAGAATCAACAAAGAACTTAAACAAATTTACAAGAAAAAAACAAACAACCCCATCAAAAAGTGGGCAAACAATACGAACAGACCCTTCTCAAAAGAAGATATTTATGCAGCCAACAGACATATGGAAAAATGCTCATCATCACTGGTCATCAGAGAAATGCAAATCAAAACCACAATGAGATACCATCTCACACCAGTTAAAATGGCAATCTTTAAAAAGTCAGGAAACAACAGATGCTGGAGAGGATGTGGAGAAATAGGATCACTTTTACACTGTTGGGGGGATTGTAAATTAGTTCAACCATTGTGGAAGACAGTGTGGTGATTCCTCAAGGATCTAGAACTACAAATACCATTTGACCCAGCCATTCCATTAGTGGGTATATACCAAGAGGATTATAAATCATGCTACTATAAATTTCACATGCACACATATGTTTATTGCAGCACTATTTGCAATAGCAAAGACTTGGAACCAACCTAAATGTCCATCAATGATAGACTGGATTAAGAAAATGTGGCACATATACACCATTGAATACCATGCAGCCATCAAAAAGGATGTGTTCATGTCCTTTGCAGGGATATGGATGAAGCTGGAAACCACCATTCTTAGCAAACTATCACAAGGACAGAAAACCAAACACTGCATGTTCTCACTCATAAGTGGGAGGTGAATAATGATAACACATGGACACAGGGTGGGAACATCACACACCAGGGCCTGTCAGGGGGTCGGGGCTGGGGGAGGGATAGCATTAGGAGAACTACCTAATGTAAATGATGAGTTGATGGGTGCAGCAAACCAACATGGCACGTGTATACCTATGTAACAAACCTGCATGTTGTGCACATGTAGCATAGAACTTAAAGTATAATTTAAAAAATAAATAAATAAAATAAATGTAGTTCACAGGCTTCCAGCCCCTTGTAATACAGAAATGGAGCCAAAAAATCAACAAAAGTAATGGGCACTGGCACTAAGGTGACACCAGCAATAGCTTCAAGCCTACATTGATGCTGATCTCAGGAGTTACTGCCCATAGTCCTCCCAAACCCCTTTGCAAAAGACAATGATTACTCTCTAAGACTCAGCTGAGTCTGAGATGGGGCCTAAATAGGTTCCAGTATCAACATTAGAAGGATGCAAGGATAGAAGTCCTAGCACATAGTACACAAAAGATCTACCATTTAATCCCCTCTTGGCATTTTATTATTAACAAATATTAAGTATCATTTGCAAACTTGAAGACTACGTTTACTCAGGACTCACAGCATTCCAGTCCCAACTCAGGCCCAAAACACAAGACTTTCATCTACATTGCTATTTAAAACTACAGTCACATGCTGCATAATGTTTTGCTCAACAATGGACCAAATATATGACAGTGGTCCTGTAAGATTATAATACCATATTTTTACTGTATCTTTTTTGTTTAGAAATGTTTAGACACACAAATGCTTATCATTGTGTTACAATGGCCTACAATAGTCAGTATAGTAACATGTTGTACAGGCTTGTAGCCTAGGAGCAATCAGCTATACCATATAGCTTAGACGTACAGTGGGCTACACCATCTAGATCTGTGAAGTACACTCCATGATGTTTGCACAAGGATGAAATCTCCTAGGGATGCATTTCTCAAAATGTAGCCTCATCATTAAGCAATGCATGACTGTATTGATAAAGTTAGTGTAATTTTCTCTGGAATGAGCAAAGATGCAGGTTGCAATTTTGAGTTGATCTCATGCTTTATTTTGTTTTTCCTTTATGTTCACAAAGTTATTATTTGTGATGTTATCAAACAATAAAGGAGCAGTATAAGTTGGTCTCATAATTTCTCATGTTTATTATGGTGATAATGAAATTTTTTAAGTAAGGAGTGCTATTATGGACATATAAATAAATGGCTTTTTTAAAAATTAGTTTTCAGGATGAGATAATGAGAGTTTGAAGCAGATAATTACTAAGTCAATTTTACAGGTGAGAAAACTGTAACACACACACACACGCGCGCACACACACACACACACACACACACACACACACATAACTACATAAAAATAACTGTATAGGTGAGTTTTAACTCCCTAGAAACCAACTTGGCCACAACTTGGAGTCCAGCTCTGCATCCCTAGAGAATCTACTTGTTTTGAGACACCTGAAGAGGCATTTCTCCCAGCCCCTTCAGAACAACCTGGTTACAGAGTTACTACACCTGGAGACAGAGGCCGATTTTAGTATGTTTTCAGAGACTAGTACAACTGGGAGTGCTCTCTGGAGATTATGTTGCTGAAGACTTTCTGGCTGTTTTCCTTTTGAAACACACTAGAAAGCTCTTCTGGAGATACTTATGGGAGAAGGACTCCATCCCCACCACCCACCCCCAACCTAGACCTATAGCCAGGCAGCCACTGTCCTCCTGGGTCTTCACTACAGCCCAAACTCAAGAGGAAACATGAGATAGTAAAGACCACACTAATAGCCAAGAAATCTACTCAAATTGAGGTCCAGTCTGTAGCGCCTCAACATTTTCTCACCTGTAAAATAGGATAATTGTGAGAAGCATAATACTCTGCATTTCCCAAGTATTTAAGTGCTTCTGTATGTGTCTGTAACCCCACAGACAGCCCACCCAACTGATACACACATCCACACTTCAGGCCATGAGCTCTTGCAAGGCCAGATCAGTGTCCCTAGCATCCTGCAGAGTCCTTGGCACATTTGTTAAATTAACAAATGAGAGAAAGCAAAACACATTAAATATTGGAAAGCACCTTGAAAAACATAGTTTCAGCCAGGCGCAGTGGCTCACGCCTGCAATCCCAGCATTTTGGGAGGCCGAGGTGGGCGGATCACGAGGTCAGGAGTTCGAGAACAGCCTGGCCAACATGGTGAAACCCCGTCTCTACTAAAGATACAGAAAATTAGCCAGGCGTGATGGCACGCACCTGTAACCCCAGCTACTCGGGAGACTGAGACACCTACCCAGGAGGCAGAGGTTGCACTGAGCTGAGATCGCGCCACTGCACTCCAGCCTAGGCAGAAAAGCGAGACTCCCTCTCAAAAAAAAAAAAGAAAAAGAAAAAGAAAAAAGAAAGAAAAACATAGTTTCTTACATTTAAATGGAACTTCATAGTTTGTAAAGTATATATATACGTATACGTATTTTTAATTCTCAGTGAGCTCAGCCAATATTATTCTCATTTTATCAGATGGAAAATAAAGTTCAAAGAGATTAAGTGATTTGCCTAAGCCCCCAATAAGTAACCTTCTGTCCTTCACAAATGTAAGGTGTTTTCATTTTCTCAACACGAACATTTTCTTTCTTGACTGTCTGCTTCATTGTTTTCCAAAGCAGACCAAGGAAATGGAAAGACTCCTTTGTCATAATTTGCAAGGTGAATTTTCCCCAGTTCTATCTTCTACATTATCTCCCTGCATCCAGGTCTTCTTTCTGAATGGCTGGAGTTGCTAGAGTCTGTTTGGAAGAGAGTAAAGTGTGAGCCCTCCCCCTGCCTTTGTAAAATGGACCTTTACACTCCTGGGTGGTGTTTACTCCAGGAACAGTGGCTCCACTGCCTCTCACTAACCTCCTACACGGTTCCTAATAAACTAAAGGTAACATAGCCAAGGGAATAGAGTGTTGAAGAAGTGGCAGTTTAAAGTACTGAAATATGTGGCTGGTGCATAAGGACCACAAATCAGCTAGAATCAATGAATGGACGATTTTATGTGCTGGCTTCCTTCTAATTGTGCAGTAGAAAGTAATCTTTGCCTTTTACCTGCAAAATAGAGCTCTGGAAATACCAGAGGGGCTGCCTTTCAAGTTCCCTTATTAGACAGAGGCATCATAAAACATAAGGGGACAAATAGGGCTTAGAGGGAAGGAGGGATGAAGAAAGCAAGGGACAGAAGTGTGAGCAACATGTTTCAATAACACGCGGCTTCATAAGCTAGCGGGGTTCATTGCCTACACACTTAGAAATGGGACGCTGAGAACAGTTGCGATATGATCCTGGAAAGGAAGGCAGAGGCCACTCCTAATCAGAGGCAGGAGAGATGAGGTCATACACACACAAGATACAGTAATCTGGAGCAAAGGATGAAGAAAATCCATGACTGATCCTGGTGGAAATTCTGAGCAAAAGAGGGTCTTTGTGAAACGGCTATTGTTACTCAAATGAGCAAGAAAAGTCAAACCTATCGGTTTAATAATAATTCTAACAGCCATCCTGTACTGAACACCATCCTATACAGATCACCAACACAGGAGCTGAGCAACACCTCCTGAACTGCTCACGTGTTCCTATGTGAACACCATTTCGATAACAACAGCCAACCCTTATTATGTGCCAGGCTTCTAAGCACTCTGTATATATTATGACATTTATTCCTTACAACAACGTGTGAGGAAGATACTAGTATCACCATTTTACAAATGAGAAAGGGAGACAAAGAAGGATTAAGTGACTTGGCTGAGATCCTCAGCTAGCAAGTGGTCGAGTCAGGACTAGATGTTGGGCAGTTTGATTCCAGAGTCCATATTCCTAGCCCTTCTCTATCCAGTCTCTCTTCTCTCTCTGTCTCTGTCTTTCTCTCTCTCTCTCTCTGTCTCTCTCTCTCTCGCTCTCTCATTTAATCCACACAATAACACAACTAAGCAGATATTATGATCCCTATTTTACAGATGAGGAAACAGATGCTGAGAGGGGTTGGTGTCTACTTTGCATCAAAAATAAGCGATGGGGTCAGGATTCAGACAAAACCTCTCATAAACAACAGCCCATCAACTTTCCCTCCAACACATCACCTGCCTAGGGAAAAGGACTATATGACTATACATCTCATAAAAGAAATGGGTAAGGAAAGGGGGAAGGAATATGGCCTCATTTTTATATTTCAAGCTTCTCAGAGCCAGGTTTGATGTGATTCTTTGGCTGAAAAAGATGCCTATGTTCCCAAATCCCCACTCAGAAATTATGCATTTTCCATGTGGAAGGTCCATTAGGATTTGCAGGAGTAACCAGGACTCAAAGACAACCTAACAACCTTCCCCCAGTTAAAAGGGCAAAGAAAGGGAAGCTAATAGTCTTCTAAACTGCTAGGGGAGAGTATCTGTTCAAGAAAAGATCATGTTTTCTGTAAAGCCAAACAGGGTTGGGTTTATTTCAGCAGAACAACATTCCCAGAAGTCCTCTTTTTAATAAGTTGCAAAACTACTGTTCCCCAAGCTCACTTTTGGATGTTTCCTACCTCTTTTTTCCTTATATCTCAACTCAAAGGAATTCAGCTGGAGAATTACAAGAGGAAAATCCAAAAATGAATAAAGATCCCCTTGGGAAGAAATTTCTTTTAATAGCACAAGCTTATTTACCTCAGGACTTTCTCATCCCAGGAGCACTGACCTCCAATGGTGAAAGCCAGCCTAGGCAAAACTGTAAATGAAGAAAACTGTTTCCCCACCCCATCTCCCACCCTTGGTAGATACACAGCCTCCTTCCAAGGCCGTTAGATGTTGGGTATCCTAATGCTGCATGAAGCTTCTACAGGCTCCACACAGACCGGTAACTCAAATACACACACGTACATGCACACACACATACACGCACACACCCCAACAACAACAACAAGGCAGCACCAACACAGATGACTAAAGAATACATTTAATTACAGGGGATCATATGGCACACTGCCTGGTTGATGGACACCTGGTTACCTCATCACCCACTTACACTAAGACCAGTCAGGCAGAGCCCACAGCTCATAGTAGGTCAATAACTGGCTCATCCTATAGCTATCAAGAGTGTTTAGTTCAACTTGTATACACATGAAGCAGCAAATCTAGAGTCTAAATATATGTGGCATCTGACCCTGACTGCATCCCAGTCCCATTCTCCCAACAACATTTTTCTTCTTCCTTGTTCACTCCTTCACCTACACTCTTGCCTTCGATCAGCCTTGTCTGAGGATATAATCCTTTGGACTTTGGAACACCAAGCTCTCCTCTTTGCCTGTGATCACACCCAGAACACTGTCAGCAGTTGCCTTTACTCTCCTATCTCAGGAAAAATAAAAAACCTACATTATGTTCTTCTGTGGCTTTTCTTTCCATTCAGAGCGGCCCATTAGATCTTTTCTGTGTGTGACCCGTTAGTGGACAGTGAGGGATGTCCTGGAGTGATTAATGTTTCCCAGACAACTCTGGATAGATTCACTCACATACAGTAAATCTCCCTGTCCTGCTGGTGCTAAGATGTCATCTTGGAAAGCTTAGAGTACAACAGGCACAGGAAGCCAAGGGTAAATTCATCAGGAGCAAATGCTTTGTTTGACATGGAAACTCCTTGAGCATTATTCCAGAGTACCAACTTCACTGAATTGAAAGCCAAAATTGTTCTAATTAGCTGCATCTCATACAAAACCACTGCCTCAAAGAAAATATTTTTGACCTATTTAATTCAAGCAGCTATGCGTTCATTGGGAAGGATGATTGTTTTAACTTTTGGGCTTTCATACATGTAAATTGTAGAAAATCGTCCTTCTCCAATTCTTATTCTGTGCTTAATTCTTACCAAACTGTGGTAAGAGCATCAGTAAACCCTAATTGAGGTCCCTTTTTTGCAAGTCCCTATGCTAGGAACCAGGAAAATGGAAAGGTGTTTACTTCATATAAGCAGTCAAGGAAAGAATTCAAGCAAGTGTTGATAATTCTGATCCAAAACTAAAACTTCCAGACAATTGAAGGAAGAATGGCAGACTGGCTAATGTTTAAAAATATTCAGATAAAAATGCCAGTTCTATATCTACAAAACCAAAAGTAAAGCGTTAGATATTCAGTTGTTTTTGGTCCATCCAGATAATAAATCCAGGCTCCAGGAAATCATGTAAGTAAAATAGACCGAAATAAGTAGAAATGAATAGAAAAGCCAAATAAATCAGCCCCCATTCTGCCCCCTCCAAGTCATACACATTCGTTGTCCTATTCTTTCCCCTATAAAACCTCTCCCCTTGTTCTCAATAGTAATAACTTAGTGTGGTTTATCTAAATAATTATACCTATAAGCTGGTTTATATTTGCTCAGTCTACCCACATTAAATGAGGAGAGGAAATAATTAAACTTAAAAGCCATCTGGCCAGGCAATCACATGAAGATGGCCTTCTGTGCCTGCCTGCATTTGCTATGAAGGTCTCATTTTTGTTTGGCAGCCCATCTGTGTAAGAAAATCCCTCCTAGACAAAGCAGAACCTCCCATCACTACTAGAGAGGATCTCAATTGAAAGCATGCAACAGAGGAAGTCAAGAACACAGACATGCCAACCCCAGAACCCCCAAAGTGTGAGCTCCTTTTCTATCCACACTCACTCCTGGATGATCTCATCTATATTTATGATTTTTATTAACAAACTACTTCCACATTTGTGTCTTCAGCCAGGGCCACTCGGCTTGGGTAAATGGTTTTTGCCTATCCCTGTTTATATAAACAACTTGAGTCGCCCAAAAATCAGCCTGTTAGCACCCTTCTGGTGGCCTAATTTCATACCATTCTAAAAAAGAAAGACCCTGCTGGGCAATGGAGTGATCTAGTTGGGATCACCCCACCCATAAGTACATTGCCAGTTCCAGCTCTCCCAAGCACCAGAGGGACACTTAGAAAAGCTGGAGAACATGAATCCAAAGCCCAGAGTTTCTGAAGCACAGGGCCAAGCCAGTAGCCCACTTGTCCTGGCTACAGGGATACTGTCTCTGACCCCAAGCTTTGCTCTAAATTTCAAACTTGTCAGAAGTCACCCACTTCCTAACATATAACTATCCACCAGTCCAACCACTGGCACATTTATTAATATATGTTTTCATTCCTCAATTACATGTGTTCATATGTATGTGCATATTGCATGCCTGTCTGTCTCTATCCTCTCTCCAGCCGGTTACCACTGCAAAACTCTGCGATGAAGCCCTCATGATGCCAAGACCATTATCGTGACAGGAAGAAGGGGGTGACTTACCAAGGGCCACTTTATCAGCAATTCCTTCTAAAACTATAAACCAAGCTGACCTCATTTTGCCCAAAATTGTTGCTAGAAGGAGGGAGAGAAGTCATGAACTCAAAGGAAGAATCTAGGTTGTAAAAAGAAAATTTTTCTATATGCCCAAAATGAGGACACAGCTAATGCTTTCTTGAACCAAATGAGAAAATCAACCTCAATCAAAGAGGAATATTAAAAGAAATACAAGGCTGAAGAAAAGTTTTCTTTCTCCATTATCCCCTGCTTCCCCAACCCTACTCCACTTACCAGGAAACCTACTGATAGGAATCGGTCACAGCTGGGAAGTATACTACAGACCCCTGGGGGAGGTCTACCAGAAGTTAAAGAGGGTCACCCCTGAGATTGCATCTCAGGTTGCAATGTTTGGTCCTGTGACTGGCACTGAGCTCTTCCAGGAACCTCTGAGGACCTGGAAGCCTCTACAAAAGAAAGCAACTGCCACGTTAGAAGAACTTCATATCACATATGCAGTTAAAATCTCAACTAAAACAAAAGACTTCTAATGTTTTACTGCCATGAACAAATATTGCCACCCCTTTGCAATCTTCAGTGTTATACTCTCCCTTCTTTCGGCTGGAAAACAGTTAGGACTCCTTTTGTTTTAACAGATAAGCACTATGATCTTTTCCAAGTATAGATTATCCCTTTCCCTTTTCTAACGGTTTTTGTTTTGTTTTGTTTTTTGTTTGTTTGTTTGTTTTTGTTTTTGTTTTTGAGATGGAGTCTCACCCTGTCGCCCAGGCTGGAGTGCAATGGCGCGATCTCAGCTCACTGCAATTCTGCCTCAGGGGTTCAAACTATTCTCCTGCCTCAGCCTCCTGAGCAGCTGGGATTACAGGCGCCCACCACCACGCCCAGCTAATTTTTGTATTTTTAGTAGAGACAAGGTTTCACCATGTTGGCGAGGCTGGTCTCAAACTCCTGACCTCATGATCTGCCCGCCTCGGCCTCCCAAAGTGCTAGGATTACAGTCTAATGGTTTTTAAGGTTTCCCAACTTGTGACTTCGGGTCTAGCTTACATGCCTCTGTTAAATGTCACAGTATCATCCTACCTAAATGTCCAAGGTCCCATCTCTTCTGCTGACCACAAAGCCATTTTGGGATGTGGAGTTATTCTTAGGTTGTATTCACATATAAAGATAGCCTGTGATTGGATGTGTGACAAACAGTAGGGTGATCATTCAACCTGACTTCCTCCTATGTGCAGATATCCAGAAAACGACTAAAACCATCTTCCAAAATTCTGAGTCTAGTGACTTTTTTCTGCAAAAAATCCAGCGGTGTTTTCTTACTTAATGCCAGCTAACATACAGCAAAAATGTTGGCTCACCTTGTACTTCTACAAGTATGTCATAGGTAGAATTTTCCCTGAATATACCTGCAAGAGGGCTACATACCAGTGACCATCATCAAGCACATTTCCATTGATTATGCTGCACATCCACCCTATTCATTGATTTTCATATCCACCACAGAAAGCAATTTGGCAATAGTCCCAGGTTATATCTGCCTAACAGAGTTCTTTGTTCCCTTACAGAATTGTGACATTCAATAAATTAGAGCAACACCACTGCTCACATAACACCAGGTGTTAGTCCAAAAAGTGCCTACTCTTCATGCCCTCAAAGTCTTTCTAGCTAATGGAAACATACTCAGCAAATTGTCATACTATATGCAGAGTTGTGACCTCGTCATTTATTTCCAAGCCAAAATAAGATACCTAATTGATCCATTTTTGGAGGAATAGGAGATAATCTTGGCGTTAAATGTTTAACTAACACCTTAGGGTATGGGCTTATAAACTAGCATCAATAATGTCAAACAGTAAATTAAGATAGACAGTAAAAACCTTCCCATCTCCCCTCCCAATACCCTTGAGAGACACATGCATAAGGTCACATTGAAGTCCTCACTTCTTAAAAGGATAAAGACATTGAGAAACTTTATTGCAGTTTATCAAGAAGTCCATGACACAGAATGAAAAAGGGTTGGCCCTTTGGGAAAGAATCTCAAAGAGGTAGCATCTCAAAGGGGTAGATTCTCATAATTATGTAGCAGAAAGATATCAAGCTCCCCTCTTGTCTGGGAAAAAAAAATGCAGCAGACTCTCGTATCATTACAACCATCTTGCTCTCTCTTTTGTGAATCTAATCAACAAAGTCCTTTTTTCATGAAGATATCTTACAACTTTATCCTTAGGAATGATTTTCAAAATAATACTTTAAATTCTTCTTCTAGCCTTTGGGCCTGTCTGTACATTCTCCACAATGCTGCCAGAAAATGGCCATTCTGAAATGTAGATCCAATCATGTCACTTCCTTGTTCAGAATCCCTCCATCTTCATAGACTTCATATAAAACTCAAACACCTTAGCATAGCATACAAAGCCTTCTCCCCTGTCCTCCACCACCTTTACTCCCCTACTCCTACCCTATGTCCTCATGATAATGCATCATTTGCAGTTCCCAGAATTCTCCATCCTCTCTCCTGTGGCCATGGCTTTCCCTACACTGTCCCTTCTACCTGGAGCGCCCTTCCCCTCACTGATTGCATGGGGACATCTCCTGGATAAGATTATTCACTCTTCATAGTTGAGCTAATTTTTCTCCAGAAAGTTTTCCTTAGCCTCACCAGTCTGGGCTGCTCTCCCCTCCTCTGCTCTTGCAGTGTTGGTTCATACTTGTGTTACAGACCTTATCCCACCATACTATAGTTGTCTAATTATGTAAAATAAAATTATACGTAATTTCTTTCAGAAAAAAAATTATATACAAGGAAATACTATATAAAAGTATATAAGAATATTTCAAAGTTTATAAATATAAATCAAAAGACTCTGTAAAATCCTTTGCCTTCTCCTAAGAAAGTCTCTAAAACTTTTGCCCCTTTCCTGCAACTCATGGGCCTTTGTTTCTTTCTTCTTTTTCTCTGTAGTCTCTTGCAAGATCTTTGGGTACCCTTAGTGTCTAGAAGTCCCTCTAAGATCATGAACCAGGAGATGCTTGCATCACCTCTGCTCACATCCCATTGGCCATACCTAGCCTCAAAGGAGGCTGGGAATGTAATCTCTGGCTATTGGCCACACGCCAAGCTAAATGCATGGTTTGTCATACTAAAAGAAAGAGAAGGAAAAGCAGGTAGAGGAGGAGGATGGAAGAATAGATACTGGAGGATACCTACCAGTAAGCAACATAAATGGTGAGAAAAGGCTAATGGATGTAGAGAGCAAATACAGTTGTTTACAAAAATCGAGTTCCAGAAATATTTTGAACAAAATTTCTAATCACCTAATATAGGAAGAAGTAAGTGGGGAATTCATGGAGAAATGATAATCAGAAATTGACTGTCCTTGCCTCGGCCTCCTCAGGAGTTCGAGACCAGCCTGACCAATATGATGAAACCCCATGTCTACTAAAAATACAAAAATTAGCCAGGTGTGGTGGCACACACCTGTAATCCCAGCTACTCGGGAGGCTGAGACAGGAGAATCGCTTGAACCCAGGAAGCAGAGGTTGCAGTGAGCCGAGATCGTGCTATTGTACTCCAGCCTGGGCAACAAAAGTGAAACTCCATCTCGAAAAAAATAATAATAATAAATTGACTATGCTAAATATGCCCCTATTTTATAGGAACTGGTAACTTATCTCTCACATTTAAAACATGAGCTTTAGACATAACAGACCCTAAGTTTTTTAACCTCTTGGCTATAAATTAATAGATATGCATCTGCTCTACTTGTGAAACTTTTCTCTTGGCAAACAGAAGAAGAGCTCAGCATATACAAAGTAGTTTCCTGATGTTTAATGCAGCAAAAGTAAAGATTGCAACAGAACTACGTACTCTGCCAAAATCTAGTGAATTCACCAATTTCCCCAATGGCTTCTGTACTTGCTCAGTTTCAGAATAACATGATTCTGAAACAAGCAATTTATTACTTAAAAATAAACCTTGAGGGTCACTTAGAAATACCTTTCGCAACCGACCTAAACTTCGGTTTCTAAAGTTCATGGGCATTTGAGGTTTTTTTCTTGGAATTGAACAGTATATTCATGTCAAAAAGCATTCTTTTTGTACTCTTTGTGCTGTTGACTGACATGACTCTGAATTGGTCACAGCCATCATTCTCTAGAAACAGAGGCAGGACAACACTGAGAACTGTGCTCAGCTTGTCTTTAGGATTCAAGGAAAAATAAAGAACAGGAGAAAGTTTGCTCCAGCAGGAAGCAACTTTTAGATCTACTGGGAGATTCTGATCTACTGAATGGGAGCCTTATGTTAACTTGTTAAGGTGAAAAAAAAAAATAGCTTTGACAAGATGAGAAAGGCCAGCCGGTTACTGGAGAAAACAATGATTTTTTTTTTTTTTTTTTTTTTTTTTTTTGTGAAGGAGTTTCGTTCTGTCGCCCAGGCTGGAGTGCAGTGGCACAATTTCGGCTCACTGCAAACTCCACCTCCCATGTTCAAGCAATTCTCTGCCTCAGCCTCCCAAGCAGCTGGGATTACAGGCATCTGCCAGCAGGCCCGGCTAATTTTTGTATTTTTAGTAGAGACGGGGTTTCACCATTTTGGCCAGGCTGGTCCTGAACTCCTGACCTCGTGATCCACCCGCCTCGGCCTCCCAAAGTGCTGGGATTACAGGTGTGAGCCACCACATCCAGCCTCTCTGCCTCTATCTCTATTCATCTTTCTTGGAGATAGAGGCAGAAAAAGGGAGAAAGACAGGCAGGCAAACATGCATCTTTGTGGAAAGAGTACATTTAGGAAAAGCCAGCAAAGTCTCTAAAGTGGTGTGAAACATGAGGCATCATCCTGCTCTATTGACCAGCAGAAAGTCACGGTAGGAGTTTACAGAGTCATTTATAATTCTCTTTCTAGCAATTTTGTGTAACTAAATAATCACAAAAACTTCCCGCTTTTTTTTAAAAAAAAAAAAAGAAAAATATTTAAATATGTAGCTGATTTCACAAAAACGGTAAAGAAAATCTCTAGGGGTCAAACGTGAAGGAAAAAGTAAAAACCATAGTGATAATTCTTGGAATGATTTGCCAGCCCCAGGAATCCAAAGAGCTGAAGTTTTAATCTCTGCATAGGAACAGGTAGGGCAGTGGAATTAAGACCTTCACATAAAGTTGGAAGATCTATACCTTAACTGAAAAGGTATTTTAGAAAAAAATTCTTACACTAGCCTAGGGAAATAAGAAGCAAGCTTGTCTATTTGTGCCTGGGATCTGAGTGAGTGAAATGGTCTTTCCTGAAAGAAAAGACTTTACGTAAGTGGCCACTTTACATAAGTGGCCAAACCCTAGGCAGGCCACACTTGGGTTTGGGGTTCAAATTTATACTTCTGGCTTGGTCCAGAATCTGCCAGGTGAGAAATAACATATAAATAGACCCAGGGACAATGATACCCTTGGGATGCCTGGCATAAACAGACATAGAACCAGTCCTGAGGGGCATACTTTCAACACAGGCCAGATAAGTCTTCAAGCAAAGCCCGCCTTAAGATTTCTTACAATCCAAAATTACAAAGCACTGAAGGAAACAATTGAGAATGAACCACTGAAGCAGATACAGCAAAGAGCAGTATTAAACTCCAATAACGCTAGATCCTAGAACTATTAAAAGGAAGGAAACTATAAAATTAACATGTTTAAAAGAATACCTAAAAGAGAAATTAAGAGCAAGAAAAATACACAAAACAATATCTAAAAAGAATGGATATAATTGAAAGAAAAATAGAGCTTCTAGAAGTAAAAGGCATTGGAATTAAAAGCTCAATCGTTTCAAACTGCCAGTGAATCGTATCAAAGAAAGAAAGTGAACTAAAAATAAATATGAGTAAATAATTCCAAAGGTAGCATAGAGCAATACAAAGAGATAATATGAAAAAAGAGGTTAAGAATCACGAAGGAAAGAATGACAAAAGATCCAAAATAACTAATCTTAAAAAGAGAATTGCTGGATCAAATGGTATTTCCTATTCTAAATCTTTGTGGAATCACTACACTGTCTCCCACAATGGTTGAACTAATTTACATTCCCACCAACAGTGTAAAAGCATTCCTATTTCTCCACAACCTCACCAGCATCTGTTGTTTCTTGACTTTTTAATAATCACCATTCTGACTGGCATGAGATGGTATCTAAAGGATTATAAATCATTCTATTATAAAGATACATGCACGCATATGTTCACTACAGCATTATTCACAATTCACAAAGACATGGAATTAACCTAAATATCCATCAATGATAGATTGGAAAAAGAAAATATGATACATATACCCCACGGAATACTATGCAGCCATAAAAAGGAACGCAATCATGTCCTTTGCAGGGACATGAATGAAACTGGAAGCCATTATCCTCACCAAACTAAGGCAGGAACAGAAAACAAAACACCGCATGTTCTCACTTATAAGTGGGAGCTGAACAATGAGAACACATGGACACAGGGAGGGGAACAACACACACTGGGGCCTGTCAGGGGAGGCCCAGGTAGGGGTGAGAAGAGCATCAGGAAAAATGCTGGGGGCTTAATACCTGGGTGATGGGTTGATAGGTGCAGCAAACCACCATGGCACACGTTTACCTATGTAACAAACCTGCGCATCCTGCACATGTCCCATGGGACTTAAAATTTTTTTTAAAAAAAGAGAGAGAATTAGGGGAGAGACAACATTTAAAATAACATCTGAAAATTTTTCAGAATTTTCCAGAATGGATCAAAAACATGATTTTTAGACACATTAGGCATAATAATTTCAAGGTATGATAAATAAAATTTTCATATCTAAATTCACTTTGGTGAAACCATAGGACACAAGAAATAGAGATCTTAAAGCAGCTAGAGAGAAAAAATGGATTACCCACCAAAAAGGAAGAAGGGATGGAAGCAAGAGCTAGGCTAACAGCAGGCTTTTTAAAATAAACTAAAATCCTGAAGTCATGGAATAATTTTCAAAGTACTTCATTTTGAAGTAAACCTTTAGTAGTTCTGGTAAGGGTAAACTTTCTGAAATGTCTGATAAAATGTCTTCATATTGTCTCTAACTCACAATAGCATGTCTGGGCAAAAAAAGACATTGTGGGTTTGATAGTTATTTTTTGTTCAGTACTTTAAGTCTAGAAAAAAAGTGAATTACATGCAGAAAATAAAAAGGTAAACATGTAGGTAAATCTAAACAAATCTCAGACTCTACAAAGTACCAATAATAATAATAACCAATGAGAAATTGTGATAGTTAATTTTATGTGTCAGTTGGCTTGGCCATGGTACCCAAGTATTTGGTCAAACTCCACCAATGTTTCTATGAAGGTATTTTCTTTGGATGGGATTAACATTTGAACTATGCAAATTGCCCACCATAATGTAGATGGGCCTCATCCAAACAGCTGAAGGACATAAGAAAAACACTCACTTCCCCCAGGGCAAAGCAAACTCTTCCAACAGATTGCCTTTGACTCGAACTGCAACTCTTCCCTAGGTCTCCAGCCTGTGGGCCTACCCTGAGGATTTTGGACTTTTCAGCTTCTCTCTCAGATGGTGGGGGGAGGGAAATGATATTTATTTTAAGGAATTGGCTTACATGATTTTGGAGGCTGACATATTTTATATATATGTGTTATATATATATGACATATGTCTCATATAGAGAGAGAGAGAAAACGTGATATTTTTCTTAAGAAGTTGGCTCACACAATTGTAGAGGCTGGCATATATATAGAGAGAGAGAGAGAAAGAGAGATTTATTTTAAGGAATTGGCTCACACAATTGTGGAGGCTGACACACACACACACACATACACACATATATATATTCATATATTGGGTGAGGGTATATACACACGCACACACACACATGCACACACACACATGCTATTGGTTCTGTTTCTCTGGAGAACCTGAACTAATAAAGCAACAGGAATACAAAATGGCACTAAAACATTAGACAAAAATAAAATAACATTTGTCAGTAAATATAAGAAGAAAAGAAAAACAGAAAAGGCAGGAAAAAGACAAAGCAATATGATTGAAATAAATCAAAATCCCTCAGTAATAAGTGGACTAAACTTGTCCATATAAAATGATTGCTAGATTTAATTAAAAGAGCAAAATCATCCTCTGTGCTCTTTAGAGTAGACACATTTAAATCAAGAGAACAAATCAATGTTTAAATTAAAAGAATAAAAAACATATACTGGAAAAATACAAATCAAAAGAAAACTGGAATAGCTATGTTAATATCAAAATAAATGGAGTTTGAGGCAAAAAATTTGTTAAGGATAAAGATGGTTATTATGTTATGAAGAAAGGAACTGCACCAGGGAGCTAGAAAAATTCTAAATTTTCATGCACAATGATATTGACTTAAACCGTCTAAAACCGTAAGACTCCTACAGATGCCACATCCACACACAGCTAATAATGGGATTTGAAACATGATAGTATTGAGATGCTTCTAGGAAAGAAATTAGTCTTACCACAGGAAGACTGAACAGACATCTGTAGAACAAAAAAGTTTAAAATGCACGTAACTGCACCTATATTGGCTCACAGCGAGTCACAGCAAGGCAAGCATCGGTTGGTTCTGTGAAGACACAAACTTCCATTTTCATTACAGCTCTGAGGCAGGAGTTAGAAACTTGGAACACAGAAGGAGGAGCCAAGATGGCCGAATAGGAATAGCTCCGGTCTACAGCTCCCAGCGTGAGCGACGCAGAAGACAGGTGATTTCTGCATTTCCATCTGAGGTACCGGGTTCATCTCACTAGGGAGTGCCAGACAGTGGGCGCAGGTCAGTGGGTGCGCGCACCGTGCACGAGCCGAAGCAGGGCAAGGCACTGCGTCACTTGGGAAGCGCAAGGGGTCAGGGAGTTCCCTTTCCAAGTCAAAGAAAGGGGTGACAGACGCACCTGGAAAATCGGGTCACTCCCACCCGAATATTGCGCTTTTCGGACCGGCTTAAAAAAACGGCGCACCACGAGATTACATCTCTCACCTGGCTCGGAGGGTCCTACGCCCATGGAGTCTCGCTGATTGCTAGCACAGCAGTCTGAGATCAAACTGCAAGGCGGCAGCGAGGCTGGGGGAGGGGCGCCCGCCATTGCCCAGGCTTGCTGAGGTAAACAAAGCAGCTGGGAAGCTCGAACTGGGTGGAGCCCACCACAGCTCAAGGAAGCCTGCCTGCCTCTGCAGGCTCCACCTCTGGGGGCAGGGCACAGACAAAAAAAAGACAGCAGTAACCTCTGCAGACTTAAATGTCCCTGTCTGACAGCTTTGAAGAGAGCAGTGGTTCTCCCAGCACGCAGCTGGAGATCTGAGAATGGGCAGACTGCCTCCTCAAGTGGGTCCCTGACCCCTGACCCCCAAGCAGCCTAACTGGGAGGCACCCCCCAGCAGGGGCACACTGACAGCTCACACGGCAGGGTATTCCAACAGACCTGCAGTTGAGGGTCCTGTCTGTTAGAAGGAAAACTAACAAACAGAAAGGACATCCACACCAAAAACCCATCTGTACATCACCATCATCAAAGACCAAAAGTAGAGAAAACCACAAAGATGGGGAAAAAACAGAACAGAAAAATGGGAAACTCTAAAACGCAGAGCGCTTCTCCTCCTCCAAAGGAACGCAGTTCCTCACCAGCAACGGAACAAAGCTGGACAGAGAATGACTTTGACGAGCTGAGAGAAGAAGGCTTTAGACAATCAAATTACTCTGAGCTACGGGAGGACATTCAAACCAAAGGCAAAGAAGTTGAAAACTTTGAAAAAACTGTAGAAGAATGTATAACTAGAATAACCAATACAGAGAAGTGCTTAAAGGAGCTGATGGAGCTGAAAACCAAGGCTCAAGAACTACGTGAAGAATGCAGAAGCCTCAGGAGCCAACTGGAAGAAAGGGTATCAGCGATGGAAGATGAAATGAATGAAATGAAGCAAGAAGGGAAGTTTAGAGAAAAAAGAATAAAAAGAAATGAGCAAAGCCTCCAAGAAATATGGGACTATGTGAAAAGACCTAATCTACGTCTGATTGGTGTACCTGAAAGTGATGGGGAGAATAGAACCAAGTTGGAAAACACTCTGCAGGATATTATCCAGGAGAACTTCCCCAATCTAGCAAGGCAGGCCAACGTTCAGATTCAGGAAATACAGAGAATGCCACAAAGATACTCCTCGAGAAGAGCAACTCCAAGACACATAATTGTCAGATTCACCAAAGTTTAAATGAAGGAAAAAATGTTAAGGGCAGCCAGAGAGAAAGGTCGGGTTACCCTCAAAGGGAAGCCCATCAGACTAACAGCGGATCTCTCGGCAGAAACCCTACAAGCCAGAAGAGAGTGGCGGCCAATATTCAACATTCTTAAAGAAAAGAATTTTCAACCCAGAATTTCATATCCAGCCAAACTAAGCTTCATAAGTGAAGGAGAAATAAAATACTTTACAGACAAGCAAATGCTGAGAGATTTTGTCACCACCAGGCCTGCCCTAAAAGAGCTCCTGAAGGAAGCACTAAACATGGAAAGGAACAACCGGTACCAGCCGCTGCAAAATCATGCCAAAATGTAAAGACCATCAAGAGTAGGAAGAAACTGCATCAACTAACGAGCAAAATAACCAGCTAACATCATAATGACAGGATCAAATTCACACATAACCATACTAACTTTAAATGTAAATGGACTAAATGCTCCAATTAAAAGACACAGACTGGCAAATTGGATAAAGAGTCAAGACCCATCAGTGTGCTGTATTCAGGAAACCCATCTCACGTGCAGAGACACACATAGGCTCAAAATAAAAGGATGGAGGAAGATCTACCAAGCAAATGGAAAACAAAAAAAGGCAGGGGTTGCAATCCTAGTCGCTGATAAAACAGACTTTAAACCAACAAAGATCAAAAGAGACAAAGAAGGCCGTTACATAATGGTAAAGGGATCAATTCAACAAGAAGAGCTAACTATCCTAAATATATATGCACCCAATACAGGAGCACCCAGATTCATAAAGCAAGTCCTGAGTGACCTACAAACAGACTTAGACTCCCACACATTAATAATGGGAGACTTTAACACCCCACTGTCAACATTAGACAGATCAACGAGACAGAAAGTCAACAAGGATACCCAGGAATTGAACTCAGCTCTGCACCAAGCAGACCTAATAGACATCTACAGAACTCTCCACCCCAAATCAACAGAATATACATTTTTTTCAGCACCACACCACACCTATTCCAAAATTGACCACATACTTGGAAGTAAAGCTCTCCTCAGCAAATGTAAAAGAACAGAGATTATAACAAACTATCTCTCAGACCACAGTGCAATCAAACTAGAACTCAGAATTAAGAATCTCACTCAAAACCGCACAACTACATGGAAACTGAACAACCTGCTCCTGAATGACTACTAGATACATAATGAAATGAAGGCAGAAATAAAGATGTTCTTTGAAACCAATGAGAACAAAGACACAACATACCAGAATCTCTGGGACGCATTCAAAGCAGTGTGTAGAGGGAAATTTATAGCACTAAATGCCCACAAGAGAAAGCAGGAAAGATCCAAAATTGACACCCTAACATCACAATTAAAAGAACTAGAAAAGCAAGAGCAAACACATTCAAAAGCTAGCAGAAGGCAAGAAATAACTAAAATCAGAGCAGAACTGAAGGAAATAGAGACACAAAAAACCCTTCAAAAAATTAATGAATCCAGGAGCTGGTTTTTTGAAAAGATCAACAAAATTGATAGACTGCTAGCAAGACTAATAAAGAAAAAAAGAGAGAAGAATCAAATAGACGCAATAAAAAATGATAAAGGGGATATCACCACTTATCCCACAGAAATACAAACTACCATCAGAGAATACTACAAACACCTCTACGCAAATAAACTAGAAAATCTAGAAGAAATGGATAAATTCCTCGACACATACACTCTCCCAAGACTAAACCAGGAAAAAGTTGAATCTCTGAATAGACCAATAACAGGATCTGAAACTGTGGCAATAATCAATAGTTTACCAACCAAAAAGAGTCCAGGACCAGATGGATTCACAGCTGAATTCTAACAGAGGTACAAGGAGGAACTGGTACCATTCCTTCTGAAACTATTCCAATCAATAGAAAAAGAGGGAATCCTCCCTAACTCATTTTATGAGGCCAGCATCATTCTGATACCAAAGCCAGGCAGAGACACAACCAAAAAAGAGAATTTTAGACCAATATCCTTGATGAACATTGATGCAAAAATCCTCAATAAAATACTGGCAAAACGAATCCAGCAGCACATCAAAAAGCTTATCCACCATGATCAAGTGGGCTTCATCCCTGGGATGCAAGGCTGGTTCAATATATGCAAATCAATAAATGTAATCCAGCATATAAACAGAGCCAAAGACAAAAACCACATGATTATCTCAATAGATGCAGAAAAGGCCTTTGACAAAATTCAACAACCCTTCATGCTAAAAACTCTCAATAAATTAAGTATTGATGGGACGTATTTCAAAATAATAAGAGCTATCTATGACAAACCCACAGCCAATATCATACTAAATGGGCAAAAACTGGAAGCATTCCCTTTGAAAACTGGCACAAGACAGGGATGCCCTCTCTCACCACTCCTATTCAACATAGTGTTGGAAGTTCTGGCCAGGGCAATTAGGCAGGAGAAGGAAATAAAGGGTATTCAATTAGGAAAAGAGGAAGTCAAATTGTCCCTGTTTGCAGACGACATGATTGTATATCTAGAAAACCCCATTGTCTCAGCCCAAAATCTCCTTAAGCTGATAAGCAACTTCAGCAAAGTCTCAGGATACAAAATCAATGTACAAAAATCACAAGCATTCTTATACACCAACAACAGACAAACAGAGAGCCAAATCATGAGTGAACTCCCATTCACAATTGCTTCAAAGAGAATAAAATACCTAGGAATTCAACTTACAAGGGATGTGAAGGACCTCTTCAAGGAGAACTACAAACCACTGCTCAAGGAAATAAAAGAGGATACAAACAAATGGAAGAACATTCCATGCTCAGGAGTAGGAAGAATCAATATCGTGAAAATGGCCATACTGCCCAAGGTAATTTACAGATTCAATGCCATCCCCATCAAGCTACCAATGACTTTCTTCACAGAATTGGAAAAAACTACTTTAAAGTTCATATGGAACCAAAAAGGAGCCTGCATCACCAAGACAATCCTAAGCCAAAAGAACAAAGCTGGAGGCATCATGCTACCTGACTTCAAACTATACTACAAGGCTACAGTAACCAAAACAGCATGGTACTGGTACCAAAACAGAGATATAGATCAATGGAACAGAACAGAGCCCTCAGAAATAATGCCGCATATCTACAACTATCTGATCTTTGACAAACCTGAGAAAAACAAGCAATGGGGAAAGGATTCCCTATTTAATAAATGGTGCTGGGAAAACTGGCTAGCCATATGGAGAAAGCTGAAACTGGATCCCTTCCTTACACCTTATACAAAAATCAATTCAAGATGGATTAAAGACTTAAACGTTAGACCTAAAACCATAAAAACCCTAGAAGAAAACCTAGGCATTACCATTCAGGACATAGGCATGGGCAAGGACTTCATGTCCAAAACACCAAAAGCAATGGCAACAAAAGCCAAAATTGACAAATGGGATCTAATTAAACTAAAGAGCTTCTGCACAGCAAAAGAAACTACCATCAGAGTGAACAGGCAACCTACAAAATGGGAGAAAATTTTCGCAACCTACTCATCTGACAAAGGGCTAATATCCAGAATCTACAATGAACTCAAACAAATTTACAAGAAAAAAACAAACAACCCCATCAAAAAGTGGGCAAAGGACATGAACAGACACTTCTCAAAAGAAGACATTTATGCAGCCAAAAAACACATGAAAAAATGCTCATCATCACTGGCCATCAGAGAAATGCAAATCAAAACCACAATGAGATACCATCTCACACCAGTTAGAATGGCAATCATTCAAAAGTCAGGAAACAACAGGTGCTGGAGAGGATGTGGAGAAATAGGAACACTTTTACACTGTTGGTGGGACTGTAAACTAGTTCAACCATTGTGGAAGTCAGTGTGGTGATTCCTCAGGGATCTAGAACTAGAAATACCATTTGACCCAGCCATCCCATTACTGGGTATATACCCAAAGGACTATAAATCATGCTGCTGTAAAGACACATGCACACGTATGTTTATTGCAGCATTATTCACAATAGCAAAGACTTGGAACCAATCCAAATGTCCAACAATGATAGACTGGATTAAGAAAATGTGGCACATATACACCATGGAATACTATGCAGCCATAAAAAATGATGAGTTCATGTCCTTTGTATGGACATGGATGAAATTGGAAATCATCATTCTCAGTAAACTATCACAAGAACAAAAAACCAAACACCGCATATTCTCACTCATAGGTGGGAATTGAACAATGATATCACATGGACACAGGAAGGGGAATATCACACTCTGGGGACTGTGGTGGGGTGGGGGGAGGGGGGAGGGATAGCATTGGGAGATATACCTAATGCTAGATGACGAGTTAGTGGGTGCAGCGCACCAGCATGGCACATGTATACATATGTAACTAACCTGCACAATGTGCACATGTACCCTAAAACTTAAAGTATAATAATAAAAAAAAAAAATCCTAACCAAAAAAAGAAACTTGGAACACAAAGTTCCCCCATCACCTCAGTCTCTCACTTCCTCACTGGCAACAGTTAGACACAAAGGTGGGTCCTGCATTCCTTCAGCAGCAGTCTCAAGATGGTCCCAGGACACACCTACCTCTCATAGACTGCAGCCTCCAACCAGGGAGACTGTACTTCAGTACTTCTTAAGATAAACTGCATGGTGACGATTGGAAAAAGTCCCAAATCCTGCACAAAGGAAACTTCTTGGTTCCTTCCTTCATATAAGGCTGCATAACATGACTTCAGAGGTAGCACATCGTGGTTGCCAAAGGCCCAGGCCTGGCCACCAGGTGTCATGGGTTCAAACTCTAACTACTGCATACAAGCTATACAAGAAATTGGATGAAACTCTCTCTATATGGGTCTGTTTCTACATTTACCAAAAGTGAAATAATATGTATAAAACACTTAGGACACTATTTGTCACAGAACAAAGAGAACTATTTATAGAAGGAATGATGATGATGATGACAATGATGATAATGATGATGATAGTTTGATGAGCCTCAGCCGCACTGAGATTCCTTTTTCCAGTTACTCAGAGCTAAATGTAGTCCTTCACAAGCCAAGGCCTGAGCCCTCTGCCAGCACCATCCTCCTTTTACACACAGCTAGGTGTTTTGTACAAGTTTCAAATCCCATTATTACCTGTGTGTGGATGTGGCATCTATAGGAGTCTGTTTTAGATGGCTTGAGTGTTTTGTACAAGTCAGCTTCTTCTCCTGCTCTCATGGTCTCTGTGCTTCACTACTGGGCGCTGCCCTCTGTCACCAACTGAAGACAAGAAAGTTCATATACTTATCATTGAAAGTTACCACTGCACCCCTTTTCTAGACAATAGCTTCTGCCCTGCAGAAACCACAGGAGTTCCCTGTACTATGCTGCCCCTTTGCCAACAGCAGTACCAGAAACTTCACTGCCTTTATCACCATGTTTAGTCCATCTAAAAAGAGGAAGAAGATGCTTTCCTACTTTTCTCTCTTTTGCAGGAAGAACTGGAGAGAACAGGCTGTCCTCAAGATGTGCTTCTGGTTCTGGTCTGCTTTCTCTGCTTCTATCTCTTATCAGCAGAGCAAAAAGGGGCTCTTTGAGTCCAAACAGCATGAGAACCAACTCTCGCTGATTCACAGCCTGACCTGAGGGAAATGTGGTCAACCCAAGAAAACAGGGCAACTGTTCTACAGATACCTTTCAACATCAAAACCCCTTGCCACTCCTATTTCTTACTCCAAGAACAGCTTTCCAGTAGGAGTGAAAGGAATCAGCTTCCCCTTACAATGCTTCAACGCCTACGATTCTAGCTCCCATGACACCTGCAGCTGACCAACTGAGGCAGTATGTCAAGTCTTCCCAATGTTGAGTCGCCTCCAACTTAAATACCCTCTGAAGAGGCTCTCAGTTTAGGGAGGCAAAGAGGAAGATCAAGGACCAACTCTTCTCCAAAGAGAAAAGATCATATAAGTTTCTTCTATAAAATCACATTTAAATGTACTTAAAAAGAACATTCATGATATAAAGAGGAAGAAAAATCTATCCTTGTATAACTGTCTTGTATCCCTTCATGGATTTGCAATAAACCTGTGAATTTTTGAGCTCCTGGTTCCTGCCTTATTTCTCATTTTTTGTTTGTTTTGTTTGTTTTCAGCACTTCTTATTTAAGATATTTACATGGTGACTAGACAGCAAACTGTACCAGAAACAAAATCAACCAAAGGCAATTGACTAACTTCTTGTAAACACTACTCATTCTGGCTGCACCACTTGTACTATAGCCTATAAGCAAAAAGCCAATCTCAACCCCTCAGATATTTTTTATTCCAGTCTTCGGTAAGATATAAGAACAAGAGAACCTGCTTTCATTATTCTTCTGCTTGAAGTCACATAAATATAGGCAATCATCTATCTTCGGGAAATGACTACTTCTACTTGTTTATTTCTGACTTTCTCTTACTTGCACATGGCCCATGACTCCATTAACATGACCACTGGTTTGTCTTGAAGCCCTGCTTGAAGCCCTAGAACATCTTTCCTGAAATTGCTGGGGCTTCTGAGATTTTAACGTGTAGACAAATAGTGGCTTTTTTTTTTTTTTTTTTTTTTTTTTGCCCAACTTGCTACAGTTTCCCTCTGTGGGATTATTGTGGGGCTAAACAGATGGAAAGATAGAACAGGCAGTTTTCGTATAGAGCTTTGCTTCTCAGACCCGAGAGCAAGATTATCCATTTGCAGCCTTAACAATCTGGAACTGAAGTTCAGCATACTTCAAATCTCGAAGCAGCAAAGCCAGGTGAAAGGGAAAAAGAGCAGGAGCAGCAATCTTGAGCTTTCTTCCCTGCACACTGTTGATGTCAACAGCGTGGCCTCTGATGAGCCAGAGGAGAAAGGGCACAACACAAGGAAACAGGAAGTCCACTCAGTGGTTTGGTCCCCACCCAGCAATGCCTTTCCAGAAAACCCACAGAACTCCAAGGATAAGCACCCCACAAAGCAAAACAAAAGTCATGCCCCCCGACCTGGAGGCCAACAAGTTTGGGACTCTGTCATCCTGACTTTGTCTAAACATTTTAAATCTGATTCCCTACTTTGCATCCAGCCAGACAGCAGGCAAGTTCCAGGAAGCTGTGGTCAAGTGTTCCAACAGAAATCCCCAAGTCAAGCAGTGATGCCAAACACAGCATTCCCAAGCATCAATGGGACCATCCTCCTGGAACCCACCTCTGAGCCTCCAGTTGCAAAAGCAGCTGAAAGGGCAGTGTTGGAACATGCTGGCATCCCCAAGGACCTGTACAGAGTGCTTGCACATGGAAAGGGCTACCAGGAACAGCAGTCCTGCTTTCTCCTCTTCCCAGTGTGGTTGGGAACATGTTAGAGGCCAGCCTTGTGAATCCAACATTCAATAAATCTGAGATTTATCAGGACTATAATAACCAAAATGTTTAATTAAAGCGAAATAAGCCAGCTAATCAGCTTGAGAATAGCAATGCACCAAATTAATCACTATTTTGATTAACTAACATTTGCATAGCACTTTGTAGTCCGTAAGGACCTTTTCACTTACAGTATCTCATTTATCCTTTGCAACACTTCTGAGATATAATAATGGTTATGCACACTTGAGGCACCAGAGCCCCAGCTAAAATGAAGCACTAAACTCAACAATTAGTGAATGGCAAAGCACAAACTAGGACCTTGGTCCCTCCCCTCATTATTTTTCCATGTGACCACAGTTCCCTTACACAGGATGTTCCTACATCTATACCAAAGTTTCTAGAGTATTCTACCCCATTTTACTCTCATACAACTCTGTAAGACATGTACTGTATGACTGTGCTCATTTGATGGATGAGAAATTTATACACAGAAGGATTAAGGGTTTTGCACCAAATCCTTCCACTAATTAATGGCCATAATCCAGGTCACCTGACGTCCCAATCCATTGATCTTTGGGGATCATGACAACAACCATTGAACTATGACTCACTAACAGGAATGGGATATAAAATCAGGCCAGGACTGGAGTAAGGCCAAGTAGACAGACCATGATCCGTCTTTGGCACCAGCACACTGGACTTGGAGTGATGGTGTTGACATAGTGCCAGGTGAATTTTTCACTTTCCAGTGGTTCATGTGTGATAGGGTTTGGATCTGTATCCCCACCCAAATCTCATGCTGAATTGTAATCCCCAGTGTTGGAGGTGGGGCCTGGCAGGAAGTGATTGGATCATGGGGGCGGATCCTTCATGAATTGTTTAGCACCATCTTCTTGGTGCTGTTCTTTTTCTCCTTCTCCTTCTCCTTCTCCTCCACCTCCTCCTCCTCCTCCTTCTTCTTCTTTTTTATTTTTTGAGACAGAGTTTTGCTCTTGTTGCCCAGGCTGGAGTGCAATGGTGCCATCTCAGCTCACCGCAACCTCCACCTCCCGGGTTCAAGCGATTCTCCTGCCTCAGCCTCCCAAGTAGATGGGATTACAGGCATGTACTACCACGCCTGGCTAATTTTGTATTTTTAGTAGAGACGGGGTTTCTCCATGTTGGTCAGGCTGGTCTTGAACTCCCGACCTCAGGTGATCCACCCACCTCAGCCTCCCAAAGTGCTGGGATTACAGGTGTGAGCCACCAGAGCTGGCCTCACTGCTGTTCTTGTAAAAGTGAATGAGTTATCACAAGATATGGTTGTTTAAAAGTGTGTAGCACCTCCTCCCTCCCTCTCTCTCTCTTGCCCTGCTCTGGCCATATAAGACTTGACTGCTTTCCTTTTGTATTCCACCATGAGTCAAAGCTCCCTGAGGACTCCCTAGAAGCAGATGCTGCCATGCTGGGGAACTGTGAGCCAATTAAACCTCCCTTCTTTATAAATTACCCAGTCTCAGATATTTCTTTACAGCAGTGTGAGAACAGACTAATACAACGTACTTCAGATTAAGCTTATTGGTCTTAATGCTCTACTGCTAAAAATTGCCACCTTGCCAGGACTCGTCTATGGTTCGTATTTCACAACTTGCATCTTCCAGCCTAAATACTCAGTTCCCCAAGGGGGCTTTGAGATTCTGCTTCCTGAGCCTGGGAGCTAGACAGAATGACGTATTGATTAGAAAGGACAGATATCCAAGCCCTACCTGTTTCATGTATTACCCACACCCAAAACAGTAACTGCAAATCTAAAGAATTGATGAAAAATGTAATTCAGAAACTTTCTCTCCAGTTTTTTATATATTTCAGTTTTACATATTTAGAATCGGGCCCTCCATGATCAAAAAAGGGAAAGTGCCTTCTTGGTACCAGGAAAGTCCAGCCCCCAAGGATACTGCAAAACAGCAACCAGTTGCTCCAATCCCCACACGACCCCAGCTTTGGATGGATGGAAGATGCAGGTGCAGGTTGAAAAAGGATCCTGCTCACGGGGGACTGGCTGAGAAGAAATCAACCATGCAGCATCTCACTTTTCTCTCCAGCCTGAGTTACTTGCCTTTCAACAGAACACCTGTTTAACCCCAGGCCAGATGGCAAGAGCTTCAAGTCGGTGTCCTGTAGTACAAGTCCTCTAAGCACCAGGGACTTTGGCCTTGGGAAGAAAATGCATTTCTTTCTTCACTGGGCTTTTATTATATTTTTTCTGCTGGATGATATCCCAGCTGTTTAGCTGAAAAAAAGCTGAGTGGTGGAGGATGACAGGATAATATGAAAAAGATTTGAGGGGAGGTAAGAGATTAAATGGGGCAGGGAAAACTAGCTTCTATTTTAAGGCCCTCATAGACCCCAAGAGCTCTCAGTTTTGGAAACCACACCCACCTTACATAACAACAAATGTTTTCAAATGCAGCTATGCCCCACATTAAAAGAAATTTATATATAGTGATGAAAGAAGACTTATGGACTGTTAATTCAAGATTTATTATTTCTTACTTTGAAGGTTTTGTTTGTTTAGTCAGTTTTTTTCATGGTGTATTTTGGAGGCAATAGGATTTTTTCATGACTTAATCATCATTGTAAGCTTTTGAAAATCCCTGGGTCTTCAACACCATGCTCATGGTGCCTAATGGATGCCGGGCCCTGGTTGAGAGAAAGTGAGTGAGTGATGCAGACATGGCGGCAGAAGCAGGCGAGGGACCACAGGGGCCAAGGGCATCAGCAACAGAAAGAACTAGGTGATAGTGGCCTCGATGTCTGACATTAGCCAGCTTATGTCACCCACAGAGGAAAAGGTCTGAAGTGGGTCACAGATTCAATGCAGTTCTCAGTACATCATGGCTAAGGAGCGCTAGAAGCTAAAATCTTTAGTGGGAGGAAAATACAATATTAAAAGTGTTCTCGGCCAGGTGCGGTGGCTCACGCCTGTAATCCCAGCACTTTGGGAGGCCGAGGCGGGTGGATCACGAGGTCAGGAGATCGAGACCATCCTGGCTAAAGTGGTGAAACCCCGTCTCTACTAAAAATACAAAAAAAAGATTAGCCAGGCGTGGTGGCGGGCACCTGTAGTCCCGGCTACTCGGGAGGCTGAGGCAGGAGAACGGCGTGAACCCGGGAGGCAGAGCTTGCAGTGAGCCCAGATCGCGCCACTGCACTCCAGCCTGGGCGACAGAGCGAGACTCTGTCTCAAAAAAAAAAAAAAAAAAAAAAAAAAAAGTTTTCTCCACTCCTGCATGTACATTTTCTCCCTTTCTAAAGCTCTTCTCTTTCCTCCTTTCTATGCAGTTGGAACAAGCAGAAGGGCCTAGGCCTCCTCCCACAAAGGAAAGCCCCTCATTTGTTGGGAGACCTAAGACATGCAGGATGAGATTCCAAATCGAGTAATCAACGTAACCTCATGATTCCTCGCCAGCCCGTGACTAGGAAATGAGTTTGCACTTCTTTTGTATTCCCAAATTATTATGACATAAGTTCCCATTACCCCAATTCCTGGAATCTAGGCCTAGATCAGCTCAGCAGTTTCCAAGAATGCTCATTAATTTCTGCCCTAGCCAAAGTCCCCAGCTTCCTCTAGTGGAGTTTCCTTGTTGTCCTGTCACACTCTGTCCTTTCTAACCACACCCTAATGGGAGGCTTCTCTGCCGAACTCAACTGTCGTCTGCTGTGCCTGCTCCCAGTCCTCCTATTCTGGCCTCAGGGAGGGGAAAATTCTCCCACTTTTGTCAGTCCTGAAACATGCACCAGGGCTCCTCAGTCACCAGAGATCAGCTGGTAACTTTTAATAATACTTAATTGTGGCTAGGAGATAATAGAAGCAAACCAGAGTAAATTAATGATTCTTGCTAAAATTTATCACTCCAAGAGTCCGCAGGTCTGAATATGACCTCAGAGGTGCTTCCTGGGCCAGCTCCCTATCTGGCTCCTGCCCTATCTCCACACTAATCCCCATGCCCCAGAGTTCACTAGCCCTAGAAAGAAAATAGCATCTTTTTGTCCTCCAAATCCAAGGCTGTCTTGTATTTATCCAAAAGTAGCCTTTTCCTAGGATATTGAGCTTTGGGAGTAGCCATTCCCTTGGAGTTGCTTAACTACCCAAGCATTTGATCTGACGTCAAAGACTAGGCCAGAAACCCTGTAGGAATCCATAAGTTTGAGAATGTATTTTTCAAAGTGTGGATTAGTCAATCTGAGATAACACCAAATGTAGGATACCAGTAATCCAGCCTAGCAAGTCTTATACCAGCTTAGTCAAAATCTTGATTTCACCTCTAACATTAGGCAAGAAGACCAATTCTGTATGTTGCCTTTGCCACAATCAAAGTCCTACTTCCAATTTCCTAGAAGCAACTGAATAACACACATGCTATGAAACACAAACTCATATACACATATGTACCTCCCCCCTACAAAAAAAATTATAATTTCAAGTACAGAGTGGCCTAACTCCAAATTTAAGAGAAAACCATACCTAATTTTGCAGAGGCAAAATTCTTCCAATTACTAAACAAAACATTTAACTAGATGCTAAAGCATCTAGTTTGTGTTATATGAATGCATTCTAGTTTTTTCCCCAATGATAGGGTGAAAAAAGGTATTTGCCTTATATGTGTTTAAGTAAAAGAGCTAACTCAAGTGGCTTTTCCCATCAAAATGTTAAGCTTCTGCAAAAATAAATTACAATCTCAAATTTAAAAGACATCCATGTTTGTAAACTTTGGGATGGCATTTTTCTATCTTCCAAGGGAAAATATCTTGGTGTCACCTTTCCACTGGAAACTTTATTATTAGGAAGTAAGCCACTTAATCCAGCTCTATTCTAGATCTTACAGGGAAATTCTCTATTTGAACTCACTTTTCTACACCTCTTCATTAGGGAGAATGGCAGTGTGTGTCAAGAAGACTAAGATAAGGAGTGAATCCAGAAGAGAGGGACCAAGGAGACACCTTAGTCTGGAGAGGCAAAAGGAATCCTCTCAACTATGTGTGGTTCTGCTGAGACACCAGCAGAGCGGGTCCTAGAGTTATCTCATGAGATTTCTATAACTCGCTATTCAGTAATTGCGTCTGGTGCAGTATTTGATATACATGCCTCCTAGGAACATGAAGCAATGACTGATGAATGAGTTGGCAATTTGGGATCCTGGCCAAATGCATTCCTTCAGTTTCAGCTAATAAGTAAGGAGCATTAAAATAGGCATAGAGGAAGTAAACCTTTAACAACCAACACTTCATTGAGGTAGAGACTGCACTCCCACTTTAAATCAGTCTTGCATACACCACAGGAACTCACAAGCTACATGATCACTTTGAATCCAGTAGTAAAGGTACCACCATCACCTTGTAGCATGACGAGCCGCAGACAAAACCCCTCAGACACCAAGTTAAAGAAGGAAGGGCTTTATTGGGTTGGGAGCATCAGCAAGATTCACGTCTCCAACAACCAAGCTCCCCAAGTGAGCAATTCCTGTCCCTCTTAAGGGCTTACAACTCTAAGGGGGTCTGCGTGAGAGGGTCGTGATCGATTGAGCAAGCAGGAGGTACGTGACTGGGGGCTGCATGCTCCAGTAATTAGAACGGAACAGAACAGGACAGGGATTTTCACAGTGCTTTTCCATACAATGTCTGTAATCTATAGATAACATAACCAATTAGGTCAGGGGTAGATCTTTAACAAACAGGCCCAGGGTGTGGCGCTGGGCTGTCTGTGGATTTCATTTCTGCCTTTTAGTTTTTTACTTCTCCTTTCTTTGGAGGCAGAAATTGGGCATAAGACAATATGAAGGGTGGTCTCCTCCCTTAACCTTAGGTACACAATACTTGGGCAGCCATGGAAGGCTATGTTTATCACCATATATCAATTGGCCCAGATAAAGCTCTTGACACCAGTACAGCATTTCCAATAATTAGCGTTTCCAAGCTATTTCTATCATTTTGTACATCTGGTTACTATTCAGGGGTAAAACACAACAAAAAAAATCTATGTCAGAAGATTTTTCTTGTCAAGTTTCTATACAAGGAAATGATTCTTTGGGTGTCTACAGTAGCATCCTGGAAAGCATGCCACTGGTACATTTTAAATAAGATCTTTTGTTGCAAGATGCTTTTATCTGCAAGAACAGTAAGTAGCTGACAGCTTATGAAGAGTCTTTAAGCAGTCCCCCTCAGTTTTCATCTTGCCACCAGACTACAAGGTTGAAATAGTGAATGGAAGAGACTATCATGCAAAAACTCCACTGCGAGGGAGCAAAAGACCTAACAGTGTCCTCCTTTCAACTCTTAAAGGGATAGGCTGTTAGTTCAGGTGTTAATTTTCTTTACATGCTTGGGATTTTAGTTTGCAGATTCTCCTTGAGTGAGAAGTTCTCTCTGTCTCTCTGCCTCCCTCCCTTCCTCCTGTAAAGCAGTTTTGCAGTGACCTTGACTTCCTAGTCTAGAACTAAGAGACTTGGAAATGAGGCTTTGAAGCTCTTGTCTCTTAATGACATTGGAGATATCACAGATCTAACTGGAGCATTTTGGCTCAAATGTTAATCTCAAGGCAATGTACGTTTGCCTTACATGTGTCCTTCCATCTCCCGCTCACTAGGCATGTAGTAATTAGCATAAGGTAGTCGCTGGTAACAGCTTCTGTTAGCAGCCCCCACTCACAGGTGGATGAATCACATTAGGCCCTGGCTTCAAGCAGTGAGCTTGGCTCTGGTCCCCACCTGAGTGAGTTGGAAAGGGTGTTTTTATTCCTACCCTTTCACATGTTAGATTCACGGCCTGCTACCTGACTTGACATCCAGCAGACACACAGCTTTAGCCCCTCAGGCTATTTTGCAAATCTCATCCGTTGAGATATTTACCTTATCTTAAAACATGGCTAGATATTTCTAGTTTACCTCTTGCTCTATTTTATCTATCATTTTATGTGTTTGGAGTATAAATGGGGGTGGGGGTGGGGGTGGTCTTTAATTTGCTGGTGCTGCCACAACAACATACCACAGGCCAGGTGGCTTAAACAACAGAAATTTATTTTCTCACAGTCCTGGAGGCTACAAGTCTAAGATCAAGGTTGTCAGGGTTGATTTCTACTGCAGCATCTCTCCTGCACTTGCACGTGGCCATCTTGTTCCCGTGGCCTTCCCTCTGTACCTATCTGTGTCCAGATTTTCTCTTCTTCTAAGGATGCCAGTAACACTGAATTAGGGCCCACCCCAATGACTTCATTTTCATTTAATTACTTCCTTAAAGACCCTCTCTCCAAATACGATCACATTTTTATGTATTAGGAACTAGGATTTCAGCATATGAATTTTGGGGTCACAATTCAGAGGATAACAGGAGACAGAAGAAAGGATTAAATTCAGAACTTAGAAGGCCTTCTCTACCAGCCTTTCTGGCGGGAGGTTTCACACCATCCTCTAACTCTGAAGGGTGGAGGCCTCTTAGTGAAGTGGCTTCCCTCTACACACAGCTTAGGTGTCCTCCCACAGTGGCACACATGTCCTTGGAGATGCAGTCACTCCAGTGATGCTGGCATATGGCTTTGTGAGAAAATGTTGCCAACAGTCTTTCTGCCTGTTCAGATGCCATCGTAACCAAAGTCTAATTACCTCCAACTTGGGGGACCATAGAGCATGGGCTGAGATGGCTACCAATGCTGTGCTTATCTAACACTTAGAACAAAGCACCACACCTAGACTGGGTTATAAATTCTGCACTTGTTAGTCATTTGAGATTGTTGCTACTAAAATCCCATGTAACAAGGCCTCCTATCAGAACTTCTGACATTTAGTCTGGTCATTTTTTAATAACGCATTCTCAAAGTGGTCCAGAATCTGATCTGAGTATCTTTGAATCTGAGCTGAGGCTTCTATTTCTAAAGCAACTGACCTTGTCTAGAGCACTCTGCCTGTGTGCTAGGAATAGCATTTACATTAGCAACTATTGTTTTCATTTCTGAAAGACATGGAAATGTCAAAGCTGCATAGAAGATCATAGCTTGAGATATTTATCTGGCTGTCCTTGTGCACATCCCTCCTCCTCTTTTCGTTCATGGGCACCAGAAGAGAGCATTCCTAAGAGAGCATTCCTCCTCCACAAAAGCCAAAACAAACATCCAAAGAAACTGCTGCGCCAAGTGCAAGGTGAAGAGTCTTTTACTCCTGCTTACGAAGCCAGTTTCCCTGTCCCAGAGACTAGATAAAGTTAGGGAAGGGTGGAGATGAGACAGAGTTATGACCCAAAAGGGAGGCAAGCATACAGGAGGGAAGAGGGCTCCTGAAGGTCAGGGGTGAGGGAACAAACTCTTCTGCCACAAGAAGGAGGGAATGAAGTGCAGTAGAAGCTGTTCTCCAGTGAAGCCCATCAGCAACTCACCATCTGTGGAAAGGGAGGAGACCACCCCTCATATTGTCTTAAGCCCAATTTCTGCCTCCAAAGAAAGAAGAAGTAAAAACTAAAAGGCGGAAATGAAATCCACAAGCAGACATCCCGGCGCCACACCCTGGGCCTGGTTGTTAAAGATCAACCCCTGACCTAATCGGTTATGTTATTTATAGATTACAGATATTGTATAGAAAAGCACTGTGAAAATCCCTGTCCTGTTCTGTTCCGTTCTAATTACTGGTGCATGCAGCCCCCAGTCACGTACCCCTGCTTGCTCAATCGATCACGACCCTCTCATGTGGACCCCCCTTAGAGTTGTGAGCCCTTAAAAGGGACAGGAATTGCTCACTCGAGGAGCTCGGTTGTTGGAGACTTGAGTCTTGCCGAAGCTCTGAACTGAATAAAGCCCTTCCTTCTTTAACTCGGTGTCTGAGAGGTTTTGTCTGCGCCCTGTCCTGCTGCAGACAGGCCATTATTCAGGGGTCCTAGACACATGGACACCCTAGGACGAGAAAGTGAAAGGCTTAAATACCTTGTGTAGGGATGGAAGATTGAGAGACAAATTTCACTCCAATGAGAAGGAAAAAAATAGGACCAGTAGTGATTTCTCAACAGGCAGGCTACTATTAAAGTCACTCCCACTGTTACATTTGGATCCGTCATGAGATACTACTGGAAATGTTGTTTTTGATGCCACATGCAAGGTATATCAGGTCTGGGATTTTATTTTGCCCTGTCTATAATCTGATTATTAGGATATTACTGTTTCCTTGATGCTAGAAGACACCAAACACCTAAGTTCAAAACAATAGGCCTTGTTACTCACAGCACAGCAAACAGTGTTATGGTGTTAGTTCTTCTTACCCTCAAGTCCTACAGTGCTGACACGGAGGGCAGTAAGTTGAGTTACAGGAAGGAACACTGGTATGGACTGAACTGTGACCCCAAAATTTATATGTTCCAGTCTTAACCCGTAAGTGCCTCAGAATGTGGCTGTATTTGGAGATAGGGTTTTTAGGGAGGTAACTGAGTTAAGTCAGACATTAGGGTGGCCCTAATCCAGTGTGTCTTGTGTATTTCTAAGAAGAGGAAATCTGGAAACAAACAGGTACAGAGGGAAGACTATGTGAAGACTTGGAGAAGAGAGCCATCTGCAAGCCTCAAAAGACACCAACGCTGCTGATACCTCGATCTTGGACTTCTAGCCTCCAGGACTATGAGAAAACAAATTTCTGTTGTTGAAATCACCCAGTCTCTGATACGCTGTTGTGGCAGCCCTAGCAAATGAATACAAATGCTGAACATGGGGAATCTGCTGCTTTTGTAGCAGCCTGCTCTTTGTCACAGAGGGAGACATTACCTCATCTCTTAAGGATTCTGGTTGCAAACACAACCTTGAGAAATGGCCCAGGTAGAGAGCAACCAGGGCCTTGCATTTTGGCATACCCAGTAAGACAGGTAGAGGTGTAGGGCTCCACAGGGGACTGTCTCCTTCAACAAGATGCTCAGCATGTATCTTGCAACATCCCATCGGAGAAATCTTAAAGACTGCATTGTTGAAATGAAAAATTCAGTCATGCAAATATCCCCATCAGCCTGTGGAATCCAACTGTAAAACGAAATATCTCTCAATTATAAAGGATTGACACAGGTGAGTAATAGCATATCATTAACAATGTCACATCATAAGTCTTGATTCGGCCAGGCACAGTGTCTCATGCCTGTAATCTCAGCACTTTGGGTGGCCAAGGTGGGTGGATCACTTGAGGTCAGGAGTTCGAGACCAGCCTGGCCAACATAGCAAAACCCCATCTCTACCAAAAAAAAAAAAAAAAAAAAAATAGCCAGGCATGATAGCACATGCCTGAAGTCCCAGCTACTCAGGAGGCTGAGGCACAAGAATCGCTTGAACGCAGGAGGCAGAGGCTACAGTGGGCCAAGATCATGCCACTACACTCCAGTTTGGGTAAAGTGAGACTCTGTCTCAAAAAAAAAAAAAAAAAAAAAAGTCTTGGTCCTCAGGGAAACAGTGGCTGGGAAACACTAGTAGCAATGCCACAATGTGGTGTGTGTCCATGTCTGAGAGACTACCCCAGAAAAATAACAAGGCTGTGTTCATAGCCCTCTGTTATATTTGCTTTAACACATAATGATAGCCCTTTGAGAAAAGTGCAGGAGATAGGCAGTGAGCAGGGTGTCATGAGCTTGTAATATGTCAGCTTGGCTAGGCTGAACTGCCTTTTCCAGAATGCCCTTCCTGCAGGCAGGGCTGGCTTGATGGACATGCAAACAGTGCAAATGCCCAGTGACCTGTCCTCAGAAGGAGGGCCTTGTGCTTTTGGTTTAATACTCAGTATGGGAATATTTATTGTCTTTCAATTCATGTTCTATCAGTGCAGTCCAGTGAGATACTGGAGCATGTTCTGGAGGCTTGAAGAATTGGCTCATGCATGGTCCTGCCTCTTACTTCCTTCCCACCTCCCTGATTGGTTCTCAGCCACCCACTCTCCTTCCACCCATATTGACTGTTACTTCCCTCCAAACCAGTGGGGTCCTGGGCACAGAGCATGGCAGAGTGGAGACAGGCATGCACTCAGGGTCAGGGCCCAAGTTGCCTATGAGGTCTGTGTTTACCTGCCAAGTATCCCACGTGTTAGGGACTGTGACATTAAATGGTAAATAATAAACACCATGACAGGTCCAGAGAGAGAATGCAAAAGAAAGTGCAGTTGTCCTGCTTTTTTGCATAAAGGGCTCCCACATTTTCATTTTACACTGGTCCCACAAATGATGTAGCAAGTAGCTGCCTCATTTGTGTTTCATGTGTCAGGATGTGCCATGATAGATATATTTGCACAAGATTTAGAGCAAGAAAGTAAAGCAGTTATATTGTTTTTGACCTTCAAAGGGTAGAGGAAGATGCTTTTGCAGCACAGGTACATTATCATGTATCTTCTGGCTTAACACACAAGCACAGGGAAGAGATTGGGCCTACAGATGCCCCACCTGGATCCTCCATCAGCTTCTTCAATTTCTGGGCCAGCTATGTCTTTAGCTCCATGACGAGGGGCACCCACTTTTCCCATGTGACACACACATCATGGTGGGAGATAGCAAGGTGGACTTGAGTTCCGATATGTGCTGTGGCTTCCAATTGTTCTTGCTCACCTCCATTTTATGCCCATCTTCCCTTCCAGGTGGCCTACTTTCTGGACTTAAAGCTGCAGCAACAGACACAAAGACTACTCCCTAATCAGCTCCTGCAATTGTGTAAAGTTAAATGCCTGTGACAACAAACCTCACATATTACACCTTTTTAGTTGTTCTGCCTCTGTAACTGAACCCCAGCTAATAATTATGGCCAATTTTTAAGTCTTAGAATGCTTATAACTTGGTTGAGGAAATAGGACTCTACATGTCAAAAAAAAAAAAAAAAAAAGAAAAAGAAAACTACAAGATATAGGGAAACAATTTCTTACCTTTGCACACCTTTGAAATTTACCAACATTGTTTTATTTAGTCATCACCACAAATCCTGTGAGGTAGATTAGGACAGATTTTACAACTCCCATTTTCCAAATGAAAGTAAGAAGTAGAGAGTTAAATGTGTTTTGGCCAATGTCACATAATTAGGGAATGGCAGAGTTGGAATTGATCTAGTATCTTTCTGGTACACTCTCATTGACCTAGAGAGCCTCTTCCAAATATGAAATGTTAGGATAGACTATGAACCTCAGATCCTCAATAAAATGAAATTCATTTTAACCAGGAGATAAGGTCTCTGGTTTTCATTGATGTAATTATATCTTACTCCCTAAATATTAAATCTGTAGACCATGAATCATTCCATTTAGACCAGTCTCCATTGCCCATGCCCTCACTCTGGAGCACAGAGCACTCTAAACTCATGCTTAGCACTCAAAAGTCAGACTTCCAATCTCAGAAAATGGAAAGAACATGCCAAATAGCTGCAAGTGTCTCTAAAACTCCAGTTTCTCACTGGTACTTTTTAATGCTTATAAAACACAAGTTTTGTAGGTAACAGACACGCAGGCAGTTCTCATCATTATAATTCATGCATCTGACACATTGAAATGAGGTTTGGCAGTTGTTTTGTGGTCATGAAAAAAAAATCAGCCTCATTTAAAATAAATCATCAAAATTTCGCAATAGAGTACAAAAGTAAGTGAGACTTTGCTTTTCTATTTCTACTAACCACAGGAATGAGAAATAAGACATTCTATTAAAGCCTTAGAGCTACATCCATATAAAGTCATGAATACACTAGAAATGTGCAAAATTCAGAGAAAATGCAAGCTTGCATCATTTGTCAACAATTGTACAATCAGCTCAAATAAGGTTTTTAGGTTATTATAGTCTTTCCTAATGGGAGAAAGTCACAGTTGAAATTACAGGGGAAATGACCAAAGTCGCATCTAATGAATTTCTGCTCCTCTGAACTGGTCTTATAAACACATAAACTATGATTGTGCTCTCCATAGCCACTATCCAGGAGACCCATGGAGAGCCAGTTCCTCTGCTCCCTGCCACCTATGATACCGCCATGCCTAGTGCATGTTCCCAAGATTCATGGGCACAGGAGTCACCTGGGCCAGAGCTTCAGGAGGCCTTGGAAACACCTGGTCTGCTCCTCGGAATTACTCTAGTTCACGTGTGCATGCCAGCCTCCTTATAAGGTGAAGATAGCTTCATTGTTTAGATGTCAGGCAGAGGAAGAACAAGCATGCCCCAAGGGGCCCTCGTTTAGTCTTTAGAACAAACATTTAAGGAGAGTTCACTTCATGTCAGACATTATACTTGACCTGGGGACACAATGTTGGAAAAGACAGATGTGTCTTCCCTCACGGGGTTTACAGTCTAGCGTAAGAAGTAGATATTAATGACAATGACAAATATCATTGTCAGTAGCTACTGATATTAATGACAATGACAAATGTGTCATTGCCAGCCGAGGTACGCACTGGGAAGGATGGGATTGTGGTTGCTGGGAGCTATAAGAGAGAGGAGCCTGGCCCCATTCAGGGGACTCAGACAAGGCCTCCCTAAGGAGGTGACATCTGTGTAGATTCTGGAGGATAAAAAGGCAAAGAGATGAGGACAGCTCAGCACTTCTAGCGGAGGGAACACAAGTCTGAATGTGGGATCCCAGCGGGAACCCTGATGCTGGCTAAGTAAGACCAACAGTAGGTCCTGAACTAAGGAGATGAGGTGGGCACAGCAGGGTGGGGGCTGATGGAGAAACGGGGAGGGCAGGTAAACACAGTATGAGGTTGAGGAGGGTAGCTTCCACCTCCAGCAGTGCCGGGCCTCAGGCCAGAGATGCTCCCATAAATAAATAATGGGGAGGGGAACTGGTATACTCGGTCCCTATTAGGCAACAACAAAGTTCCACAGAACCTTAAACAGTATTATCGCGAGAGCATGTATAAAGGGCCTGCTGCCCCTTTAAGCTCTCCCTTCTAAGTTCCCAGGGCTGTGTTTCTTCTTCCCCACAGCCCGTTGCCCCTTCAGCCTCCTCTGCTGCTCAGGCCTGCTTCTCCAGCCTCGTTGCCTGCTTGCACCCTCCAGTTCCTGCAGTGAGGTATCAGAGGAGAAAATGCCATTATCTGATTTCAGAAACAAACTCTGAGGGGGTGAATGGCTAATAGGGATACTTCCCAGAAATTGTGTACTCCTTAAAGAGCTATCAACTCTAATGAATTCCCTGAAGGAGAGCTACGTTTCTGAGCAGAGGAAGCTTCCACACATTTGAAGAACTGCGACCAGCCAATTTGTATTGACTTTGGAGAAGATGACCTCCCTCAATTTCATATTAATAAACTGGAGGCTTCAGGAAGCAAAGGGCAAGAGGGGGAGAGAAGGAGGCCAAAAGTCATTGCCCAGGAGTGGTCCCCTGGTGCCTCCTCCAGTGATGGAGCCCAGATGGAGAGCAGCAGAAAGACACCTGTGGCCCCTAATGAATGGGTCCGAAGCTCTCTCCTGAAGCCAGCCACTCAGAAGTGCTGAAAACAAACAGGAAACACCACCGCTTCTCAGAGTGGGTTCTCACACCTTGAAAACTTTTCCCTCTGTCCTGGTTTTAACTCAACACAATAAGTATATTAAGAAAAAAAATGGTGTGTATGTATACACATGTATTCCCGAGCTGATTTTCTAATCAGTATGATTCCAAAGTATTTTATCTAATAAATATCATGTGCCAACACTATTCTGAGTAAAAATCTTATTTGATTTCCCAAAAATTCCATGAGCTAGGCTAGGCACTGTTATTATCTCCCATTTTAGAGGAGAAATTGAGGCACAGAAATGTTCAGCAACTTCTCCCAGGAATAAAATAATTTTACAGCTAAACATCTAAAGAAAGATTTTTGTTTGTCATTCTAAAAGTTCAAAAATAGGCCAGGCGTGGTGGCCCACGCCTATGATCCCAGCACTCTGGGAGGCCAAAGCGGGCAATTGCTTGAGCCCAGGAGTTTGAGACCAGCTTGGGTAACGTGACGAAACCACATGTCTACAAAAAATACAAAAATTATCCAGGTGTAGTGGCACACCTGTAGTCCCAGCTACTCGGGAGACTAAGGTAGGAGGATCACGTGAGCCTGGGAGGGCAAGGCTACAGTGAGCCGCGATCACACCGCTGCACTCCAGCCTGGGTGACAGAGCAAGACCCTGTCTCAAAAAAAGATTTTTTTTAAGTTCTAAAATAAATGTGATATTTTACATTTTATATAAAATCAGGTAGAATTCAGGAGATATATATTAATCCAAACTTCTATAATATTTTGGTTTGTATTTTTGTTTTTGTTTTTGTTTTTGTTTTTGTTTTGAGACTGAGTCTCACTCTGTTGCCCAGGCTGGAGTGCAGTGGCACAACCTCGGCTCACTGCAACCTCTGCCTCTCTGGCTCAGATGATTCTCCTGCCTCTGCCTCCCTAGGAGCTGGGATTACAGTTGCCAGCCATCATGTCTGGTTAATTTTTGTATTTTTAATAGCGATGGATGTTCGCTATGTTGGCCAGGCTGGTCTCCAGCTCCTTACCTCAAGTGATCCGCCCACCTTGGCCTCCTAAAGTGGTGGGATTACAGGTGTGGGCCACCACGCCCAGCCAAACTTAATGTAATATTTCGAAACCATCAAATAAGTATTTTTTTTAAAATATCGACTAGAATTTTTTTAAAAGAAGTGATTGGTGTAAATGTTCTGAGGTTTTGAGTAATACATAGGCTGCCATTTAGCTCAGGGTCTGCCTGAACCTAGTAGAACTTAATATTCACAGCATTGGAGTGATGGTCCATTAGAGGCTATATGAGTTTGCTATAGGGCTGCCACAGTCAAGTACCGCAGACTGGTGGCTTAAACAACAGAATTGCATTTTTCTCACAGACCCGGAGGCTAGAAATCTAAGATCAAAGGTGACAGGATTGGTTGCTTCTGAGGCCTCTCTCCTTGGCTTGCAGGTGGCCATCTTCGTTCTGTGTCTTCACAAGGTCTTCCCTCTGTTCATCTACCTGTGTCCAGATATTCTCTTCTTATAAGGACATCAGTCACATTGGATTAGGGCTTACCCTAATGACCTCATTTTAACATTAATAGCCCCTTAAAAGACTGTATCTCCAAACACAGTCACATTCAGCATATGCATTTTGAGGGGACACAGTTTACCCCATAACAGAAGCAATGGCCTGTGAATTAAGAAAAAGTCACTAAGACGAACAGCAATGTGCCAAAGAAGCTAGGAAACCTGGGTTGGAGATGTGACCTCTTTCTGAAGGGATTGGATCCAGAGGATAGGAGAGAATTCTTTGAATAATAGCCCAACTTCGCCACTCTCCAAATGGGAAAAATGCTTCATCGCTGCAGTTAGTATGAACCCAAGAGGATAAAATTTGGCTGAAACTCATGCTTCCTTCCCCTAATTGTGACCTTAGATTGTGATTTGATCCTCTTAAATTAGGTGAGAGTTCGAACAGGAACATATATGAAGTAGATTTGATGTTAGAAATTAATGAGCCCAATTCTCCCTCTCAGCCTTTTGAAGGATCTGGCTTAATTATGTGAGCAGGAGCCAATTCCAGTGATATCTCCTGAATTGTTAATACATTTACCTTCAGAAAAAAATAGAGCATACTTTGTCGAACAAAAGTGCAGTACAGATTAATCCTGAAAGTCAGAAATCTATGAGTGGTTTATTTGCTTTTTAATAACTTTTTAACTTTAATTTTAACTTTCAGCACTCAGTTTTCCTTTTCTAAAAAAAAACTGCCAACTTACATTACATGAAATGTGTTTTACTTTTATAATTAAGAAAACTTCTAAACAATTACCACACCCTTCTAAAAGTCTCTTTTTTTGGAAAAATAAAAGTTTTTAGCTATTGTGTTTTTAATTTGTCCAGTAATTTTTATTTTACATAATTAAATAAGTATGATCCTAAACAGGGTACAAAGCAGTTTTGAAGAAGGAATCACATATTTTCATTATAACTTCAGAGGAGTGTCTAGAAAGGGAATAATTTGGGGGCCACAAGCAACATGGGCTTCTTTTTGCAAATGTTCCTCCTGTTGTAAATTGCAAATAAACTTGTTAGAAAGAGGAAACCATCCTAACAAATAATACAATCAGCATGAGACAGGAACCAAAACCCAAGGTCATCTCACCTAGGAAATTAGAGATTTAAAAATCCAACTTGGAAGTTTTCTACAGAACAGGGAAAAAAATATTTGCCATACATGGATATATCTGAGAAAGACCTATTATCTCAATATATAAAGAACTCCTGAAATCAATGAAAATGCAACCAGCAAAAAGTGAACTAATGTCTTGAAGAATCATTTCCCAAAAGAAAATATACAAATGGCCAATAGGCACATAAAAATATAGTTAATTAACATCATTAATTATCAGGTAAATACAAACAAAAACTGCAATGATTTATCATTTCACACCCACTAGAATAGCTAAAATTTAAAAGACTGATACCTAATTGCCAAGGATGTGGAGCAACTGGTACTCTCAGATATTGATGGTATTAAATGTAAACAAGCTCTTTAAAAAAAACTGGCAGTTTCTTGTCAAACTAAATATACATCTGCCTTATGAAAATTATATATTATTATAATTCATATACATCAATTACAATCCTAGGTATGTACCCAGGAGAGATTAAAATTTTCATCCATAAAAGACTTGTACAATAATGTTTATAGCAGTTTTATTAAATAGCTCCAAACTGGAAGCAACTCAAATATCCAACAACGGGAAAATGGAAATTGTGGTCTATTCAGACAGTGCAATACTACACAGAATATTAAAGAATGAGCTACTGATGCATGAACAATTTGGATGTGTCTTAAAAATAGTAGACAGTTCAAAAGAAGCCATTTATAGAACAGTGCATTCTGTTTGATTCCATTTATATGGAGCTCAAGAACTGCCAAAGCTAAACTACGCAGAAAAGAAATCTGAACAGTGGTTCCTAAGGGGTGAGGTTTGACTGGAAGAAGTCAAGGAAACTTTCTGGGGTGGTGGATATGCAGGTGTGGAATTCTTACCAAAATTCATTGAATTGGACAGTTAAGATCTGTGATTTCAATGGTATATAAATTTTACTTCCATAAGAATTACAAATGGTTGTTACACAAACTAGTTTCCAGTATTTCATGTATGCCCCATTCCATAATGTTCATCTGTGACTTGCCTGACTTGTCCACTGACTGCTGACGTGTCCCCTGCACACGGTGACACAACCTTTCCAGGGAGGTCAAGTGCACCAGTGAGCTTTTCTTGTTTGTCAGGCCTCACATAACGTGGCATGTCAGAAAGAGATTAAAGTCTACAAGACTCTCTTTAAGAGCCATTAGATCTGAGTGCTCTTAGCAAGAGCAAATGTGGTAAAGTGGAAAGAGCACAGGCCATGGAGCCACCCAGACTGGAATTTAAGTCCCAGCTCAACCATTTACCTGCTTTGAATAGGTGACTAGCTTTGAGCAGGTTATTTAATGCCTCAGAGCATTTTTCCTTTATTTGTAGAACTGATTATTGTTAGAACTAGAGATTATGTGAATAATGTATCTAGATTAAGGCCTTTTACATTGTAGGCCCTTAATAATATATAGCTAACACTGGCCAATCAGCTCCCTGACAGCAGAGGACCTTGACTGCTTAGCACATGGTATGGGTTCAATAAATATTCACAAATAAAATAACAGCCTGTGAAATTTCTATTTTTTTTTTTCAGTCCTATGAGAAAAACACCAAGGGGTATAACCAAGAAGAAGCAGGATAGGTAATAAATAGGAAGTATTTTTGCCAATATATTTTTCTATCTCGGCATACATCCAGTGTTTTATCTGAACCTGTGCTGTCAGATATGTTTCAGAATTCAGCATGTTTCTGATGTTGTAAATGTAATATGGTGCATATACCGTATATCTATAACCCACCTGGTAGACTGGGGCAGGCCCCACATCAAACACATTAATATTTCCATAGCAAAACTTATATTCACATTAAATGAAATCAAGACAAAAATATTCTCAACAGTTCAGGTTAGTTCTGCCATCAAATAAATTACTTTAAAAAACTGAAAAATAACCATTGTTTGATGTCAAAACTGTTGGGATTCCAGAATTGTTGGAGAATCTATACTAGCTAACATTCACGTAGCACCTTCAATGCACCGGGCACTCTGGCCTACACACTTTGTATATATTAACTCATTTACTCTTCATAACAACCCTGTGAGGTAGGTACTATTAGTATAATTTCCACTTTATAGGAAAGGGAATTGAGACACAGACAGGATAAGTAATTTGCCCAAAGTCACACACTTAACCTCCTAGTTGGTACCTTTAATCACTCTTCCCTACTGCCTCCATCTCCCCTTTTGTTGGTATCTGCAATGTTGGGCTTTGAGGAAGGATTTACCCTTACTCTCCACACTCGCCCCCACCCCCCAAAATTAAAAATAACTAAGAATTATCAGCACTGATCTTTCCATCCTTTCTGATGTTTCTTCTACTTGGAAAACTGAAGCTTGCTGAAAGAACTGACTTTAAAGATCTGGCATCCTTAGATTCAAAAAAGATTTCTCATTTGCCTGAGAATTAAACTAATTAAACTGCAAACAAGAGACCCAGGTGGGCTTGTGGAGGTGCGGGGGGAGGGTGGGAAATCACAGACTTTTCAAACAGATTACTAAGAGAAGGCCATGTTCAGAAAACGTTTAGCCAGAAGTGTGCCTTGAAGAAGAAAAGCCAGAAGCCTACAAAGCAGAATAACACTCTTTCAGCAACCACCAGGTCATTAAAACATACATTCAAATTTATGGGCAACCCAGCCACCTTATCAAAGGAAAACAATATAAAAGTTCACAGCTCCGAGGGGGAAACAGTGGAACCTACTCCAGAGGAGGGGAAAGCACGTGCATCAATCACGTCGCTGGCCCGGTGTTAACAACTTCTAAACAGTGAAGGTGAAAGAACATTTGTTCACCAAAAGGTCACTTTCTGAATTCAAGGGGGAAGGGTTAGGAGCACATGTTGGAAAGTTTGGCTCAGTGTGCATGTTATTTTACCCTCGGGCCCAGTTTGCTTACGAAACAAGGTTGGTGGTGGTGAGCAATTAGTCTGGCAGCTAATCAGTGTCATTGTGCTGAAACCTTTCAGGAAACCATCCCAACTTAAAGGAACAACGCTTCCACACGAGGTCTGCTTCTCACGGAAAATACCAAGCCCTAAGGAAACACCCTTGGGAATATTCACTTCCCCTCAGGCAGTCAGTATTTACCGAGAGTCTGTAAGGTACTTAACCCTGCGGTACGTGCCTGGGAGACCTTGTTAAAAGAAACCCAGTTTCCTCCCTACAAATGGTTTAAAATCTAATTGGGGAAATATAAAAACATAATCATGTCAGGGATGGAAAATATATATGAATGCAAGAGTTGGCAAAATGTTTTTCTTTCTCTGTTTTATATACAACTCAAATTACAATCTTCATTCCAACCTCGCTGAACTCTCAGAAAGTAACTGAATCCACTTAGGTCGAGTATTTCCAAACAGTAATGTTTGTCTAAAGCAATTTCTCTACTCCTCACATTACCTCAACACAGAATGGAGAACAATTCATATATATGGGGCAGAGCAAACAGAAACCCAGGTCTTGCTCAACAAGTGTTTGTGGAATTAAATTGAAATCCTGCCCGATTTTGCCCAACCTAGAGGGTTTTGTTCATGAATGTGACTGGGAGTGATTCACTAACCACCAGTGACTTGTGCTTATGTATTTCAGAGAGACATTCTCCTCAACACAACATACATTCCTTCCTGTGGGAAAGCTTTGGACTGCATGGCCAGAACTTCCTACGTAATCCTTTTATGTTCACAAAATGCTGATTTGCTACTGTTTAAATTAATATGTTCTTAGTATTGGCCTGCCCTTAAATATAAAAGCCACTCCAAAATTATCTGTTGTCTCGAACATGTTTTGAGATGGAGGGTGGGAAAGCAGTGAAACATGAAGAGAAACAAACTGGCTAAGAAATTAAACTCAAGTTGAGCAGAAGAGGAAGGGGCTGCCAGTCCCCACCGCCAACCCTGCCTGATACCACAGAGGGCAATTTCCACCTTTAGAAGGTCATTCTTAACAATTCAGGCTGACAGCAGTAAAGAAGGTTTTCTTCTCTTACTGTGAGGTGACTCACCCCCCCTTAATCGTTTTACATGCATAGCCAACCAAGTATGAATAGACTGATATGGAATACCAGCCTGTGAACTTCATATTCACACAATGTGGTAGGGCACTTATTCAGTACAAATAAGCAATTTAAAAATAGCAAATGTATATTTAGTCTTCATAAACTATAACCAAATTCTTATCACATCTAAGCTGGAGTCAGCCAAACATGAGCTGAAGTCAGCCAAACTTTTCAGGGGGTAGTAAAAATCGCCCAAGACAATATCCTATATCCAGTAAAAGAATGTAATTCCTCTCACCTCCCTGTTTATCCTTTTTAGAGTCCTCTTTACTTAGGTTCTTCCACTTTCCTAAATTAATGACTATTTGCTATGGTTTGGATGTTGATCCCCAATGTTGGAGGCAGGGCCTGATGAGAGGTGTTTGGGTCTTTAGGATGGATTCCTCATGAAGAAATTAATGCCCTCCTTGGGATTGGGGGCACCAAGTGAGTTCTCACTCTATTAGTATTCACAAGAGTTTCCTCAAGGACTGGTTGTTATAACGAGTCTAGCACCTTCCCTGTCTCTTGCCTCCACTCTCATCATGTGACTTCTGCACATGTTGGTTCCCCTTTGCCTTCCACCATGAGTGGAAGCTTCCTGAGGCCCTCATCAGAAACAGATGTTGGTGCCATGCTTCTTGTACAGCCTGCAGAACCATGAGTAAAATAAACCTCTTTTCTTTATAAATTGCCCAGCCTCAGGTATTTTTTACGCCAACACAAACAGACAAAGCACCATTATAATTCAACCCATTTTTTACAGGGAGCCTATTGTATGTCTGTTGGACGATGGAGATGCTACATGAACAAAAGAAAAGTGGCTGCTTCCTCTTGAAGCTTAAAGTCTTGGTGAAGACTTTAAACAGTCTTTAAACAGAGAGGTTCATGGTCTTTGAGACTTATTACAGCAACCAAAAATAACTGGCAGAGGTTCAAAACCCATCCCTTTAAGAAAAAGCAAGTTAAAGTTGATTATTTTTCCAATGAAAGGAAATATTCCATTCATCTGAGTATCAAAGTGGTTTCTAATAAACAAATAGCAATGGGTCACATCAAAGGTAGTATGCCAGAAGCAGTGCTCTGGCAACAACAGCAGACAACTAAATTGTCATCCATGTGAATGATATTAGAATAAAATACTTAAAATATGAATAACTGTATCTGAGAAGAGCTGCTAAATTGTGGCCTTGTAACACAAAACCTTTTAGAAATGAAAGAGCCCAAGACTATTCATTTAAGACCAATATATACTATTTTATATAATGTTCTAGCAAGTTTGCTTACCTAGCATTGCTTTCTAATGTTTTCACAGTATGGACAATAGAGATAATGATTATACTTATACTGCACCCTGGGATAAGCTGACAAGACTGCGAACAAAGGCAACCACCTGACAGCTCTGGCCACCCTGGTCCCTCCTAGGGCTTAGGGATTAGTATCGACTCCCACATGTAATTTACATGCTTCCCACAGTGCCTGTGCTGCCTGTTTCCTTTACTACAGCCAGAAAGTTAAGGGGAGATAGCTGTTTTCCTCATTCAACAACATCAACAAGTTGTTTTATTGTGTTAAAATATGTAAATACCCTGGTTCCACTGGCATCTAGTGGGTGGACACCAGTGATGCCGAACATCCTGACACGCACAGGGCAGCCCCCTCCTTTTTGTTATAACCTCTGGTTTAGATGCCTCCCTCTCCCTACAGGGATTTTTCCCAGCTTATCAGTATGCTTTTATTTTCATTTTAATTAACTCAAAGTGGGCTCAGTTTATTATAAGATCACAAACCAATTGAGGAAAAGGCTGCTACTAAAATATTTGCCTGAATACTCAATGAATGGATTCAGCATGACCCGGCATACTTCTTGTCACCTAAGTTGTCTGGTAGACTCTAGAAAACCCGAAGGAAGAAAGAATACGGAAGTAAGGAAGAAAAGAAAAGGAACAGAAAGATAAGGGCAGAGACTAAGTATGCAGCATAAGAGTAGGAGATTGAACTATTTTTAAAATAGGCCAGGGACAACTGTCTTCATTACAAGGAGGCTACAAACCATCCCAACATCACAGCTGTCTCACCAGTAATTCACTAGCATTCCTTCAGTTCCACAAAAATGCCTGTCTTCTTCCTTCCCATCTTGAGGCCTTGCACATGCTATTCACTCTGCATGGAATATTCTCACTCCTTTCTCACCTCCACCAGTGGTTCTTTTTCTGGGTGATTTTGTCCACTGGGGGACATTTAATGATGTCTGGAGATTTGTAAAGGGTGTCACAGCTGGAGGGAGTTGCTACTGACTGGCCTCTAGTTGGCAGAGACCAAGGATGCTGCTAAACATCACATAATGCACAGGAGAATCCCTCCACAACAAAGAATTATCTGGTTCAAAAGTCAGTCTTGTGGAGGTTAAGAAACACTGCCCTGCCCTCCTTGGCTTAAATGGCAATTACTCAGAAGTTTTCCGTGACTCCTCTGGGATGGGTTCTCATCACAGCCTGGGCTTTTCTTTAGTGTATGTGTCACAAATGTAATGAAAACCCATCATTTGTTGTTATATCCGTGTTCGGTGCTACACTGGGATCCCCAGGAGGACCAAGCTCATACCCGTCTTGCTTGTCTCTGTATATTCAGGGCTTAGCACAGGGCATCACATTTGTTAGATGACAGGAAAGACTTTAGGGATCCCCAGTGGAGAACAGCCTTCAAAACAATTCAAAAGCCACGCACTGGCCCACTCTCAACACTTATGCTCATACCTCGTTTTTCATTTAAAATGGTCCGTTCCAGCATGACTTCACTAGATTGCCCTCCAAATGCCTTTGGCTGTTTTCAAGATCAAATCTCACCCCAAAAAACAATGAGTTGCCACATTAAGAGCATTCGAGAGAATGGGAGGCAGGCCTGTAAACAATATATCAAGCATTAGAGAGCACAACTTCCCAAGATGACCGCTTCAAGAGGGACAATACTCATTTGGCTGTACAAGTTTTAAGATACTTGTTTAGATGTCAGTTGTATACTTGATAGTCATAACATCATTCTTTGTACTTATCCCAAAGAAGTGCACAAAAATAGGATGCCAGACAAGTTTGTGAAAGAAAAGAATAGGAAGCAAAAGGGTATGAAATAAAGAGGATAATTCAGAGGTACTGAAAACCACATAAAGTCTTGATATTGGGCACAGCAGTGTTCAAACTCTGGCTCTGCCTCTTACAAAGTGTGTGGCCTTAGGCAATTTTCTTAAATTATCTGAGCATCAGTTAACTAATCTAAAATGGAAATTTAAAACACCTATCTCTTGGAATCATTATGAGGATTCGTGAAGCAATACATTTAAAGAACTATTGAACTCCATCCTCAAAAGAAGCTCTACATAATAAAGTTCCACCCACTACAAAAGAATCAGAACATCATTTGAACTGCAAGAATGATGTAACCTAAGAAGGCAGGCTAAGAATATTCCTCCATTCACTTAGTGAATGTTCACTGAGCACCAGGTCCTGTACTCAGGGTACATCAGTGAACAAGAGTGGGAATCTTACCACAATGCAAGTCCTATTTGCTGCTCATTGATACTGTCATAAGTTTAATGGTATCATAGGTCCAAGAAATAATGTATTTCAGACTCACAGCACAATTTTCTTGCCTTGAAAAATTGGCCTTAATCATATCCATATAGTTAATATTTATTTCATTTTGCATTCTTTGGTTGCAAGAAACAGAGCCCTACTCCAAGTAATTTGAATAAATGGCAATTCATTGCAAAGATACATGTGGCTTAGAGAACCAAAGGCCTGAAAAAGCAGGCTCAGCAAGAGTAGAGACAGAGCCACTCTTGAGTTCTCGCAGCTCATCAGATCTGCCATATGGATGAATGTGCTCCAGCCATCTTATGTTTGTTTAGCTTCCTTCCTTGTATCTACCCTCTCAGGCAGCAGAGTCCCAGAAAAGAGACTCTAACAGCCTCTCTTACAGCATATATCAGCTAAGAAAGGTCAAACCACCTTTAATGATAATCCCACCAAGACTCCCCACAACAGAAGAAAGGTCAGTCCCCAAAAGGAAATGAGGGTAGTGTTACCAAAAGAAAAAAAATGGATGATGGTGGCTAAAATACAACAAATATCAATAACAAGAAGAAGAAGATCTAGCTTTTAATGAGTGCCTTCTACATATTAGGTACTATGTTAAGCACCTTACATCTATTATCTTACTGAACTATTATCACGATCTTATTAAACAGAAAATATTATCTCATTTTAAAGATTACCTAATTGAGCTTAGATATGTTGAATAACATACCCTGCACCACACAACCAGAAAATGGAAACATGGTCTGATACAAAAACTGCTTAACCACTACTCCTCTAATTAACTGTAGGCAGTAAACAACCAAGTGCTCAATATTCCAAATTTCAATGTTAAAAAGAAAACTCTAAAAGTGTCTAAACTGTGATCAGTATATTTATTTGGTGTTGGCCACAGTGATTGATAATCTAGTTACAGAATAGCAGGTAGCAGCAACCACACAGCTAATACATGAAACAAAAAAAGCCAGAATCATGTTTTTCAAAAAGAGAATGGTAATTTACTGCGAATGTTTTCCTCATCTCTCTGTAGCTTAGAAACTGTTAACCTTAGCAGTGAATAAGTGACTTACTGCAAATTGGATTCCAACCACTAGCACCGGCAGGTTTTCAATCAAATGCCTGTGGATTAGTCAAGTTCAATGAAAAAGTGAGCATACACCAGTATCATCTATCACGTTAGTTTTATGTTTAAAATTAGTTCTCTGTTACTGAAATTGATAGGATAGAAGATGAGATTTCCTTCATCTACCCACAAAATTTGGATTGAACTAATAAATATTTCTATGTTATACTTTTCAAAATTTTAAACACTCTTATACATACATTCAATAGTACTAGTAAACAGCTCGATATGCAGCGCTAGGGAACCAACCACCTCTACCCAAGTGCCCATTGACCCATCAAGAGAATCATCATGTGTCCTGGTAGCCAGACACAAACTTGATGCTGGGTGCAGTTCATGTAATGGTTAAGAGCTTTGCCAAGAAGCTCTCAGACTGCCTCACTGTGGATCTCAGTTCACCACAGTGTGCCTGAGTTTTCTCATTTATAAATGGCTCTCTCCAAGAGTTGCTTGCTCTAAGGACTAAATAGACAATACTGTAAGTTGCTTGGAACCATATTGTCTTAGGATGGATTCCCTAAAAGCAAAGCTTGAGGTGGGGATTCTCGTTAATGTGATTTTTTGAGGGAGTAAGAGAAGTAGAATGGGCAAGGGAAGAAAGCTAAGCAAGATGTGGTCTCGGCTGGAGACTAGCTTCAGCCTGACCCCATGGAGAGTTCTGGAACACAGATTATATTGCAGATTGGTCCCATCTTAAGGCAGGGGCCTGGACTTTTGTATTCTGTAGTCAGTTGGCCATTGGTCACTGGTTAGAGATTTAGGGGAAGAAAGAGACCAGAGGAGCCAGATGGTAATTTTATAGAGAAAAGGGTAGCTGTATTAACAATCAATCTTTAAAGCAGGTAAAGGAAGCCAAGCAAGAAACCAACAGCATCTACCACACATGCCTATGTGGCACATCGTAGGTGCTTGATCATTATGAGCTCTTTATTTTATCTTCAACTTGGCAAACATTTATTAAGCCCAGGACCCTTGTTTGTCAATGAAGATATGAATAATGTGTAGTTAGTGCCCTAGAAATGTTCACAGTCCATTTGGAAAGATAGTTGTACATTGGACTAGCAGCCCAATGAGAAATAAGAGAAATTGTCTTTGCTGCCCCTTCTTCTCACATCCCTTTGTCCTTGAATGCCCCTCTTTCATCTAATCCAGGGGCCCACAGGTCTTTCCTCTACTAACCATCACTCCTCTAGCAACACTGAACATCCAGAACTACATTTCAGAATTCTTTTTTTTCCTCTCCATACGTAGCATAGATAGATGTGTGATCATCATAATGGATTAAGCAATAAACAGAGCCAGTGTTTTTCAAACTGCATTAGTGAGTCATGAAATCAATGAGGTGAGTTTTGACAACCTGTATTTTTGAAAATAGAAATTGAATAAAACAGATTAGAGAAGAAAATATCACAGTATATCACTACAATAAGTAAATCTAAGGGGGTAAGTACGGCTTCTGTATATACATATATCTGCATATATGTAATATATCTTTATATTCCTGGTTCCAGGTTAAATGATTTTCTTAAAATGGGTTACCATCCAAAAAATTTGAAAAACACTGAACCAAAAACTAAATCTGGCTGTGTTAGCTTGCTAGTGTATCATTCCACTCAGATAACATACGGTCCCAAATAGGTCACAGTACAGTAACAAAACAAAAGTAAGAAGTCTGGGATTTCAAGTACATTTAAAGAACAAAAGGGTAAATATTTTGGTTAGTTGGGTCTTTCAGCATCCCTTACATTAATAAACCTGCTTTGTCAGTAAGGTTTTTAAATGTCTTACAAAGTGCAGTACTGTATGCTGAGAAAATAATGAATAAAAACACACAGTCAGTCAAGCCACTTAGGAGTGTATAATTTCACGAGGTCTCAAACACAAAGATATATTTAGTAAAGTGTGGTAAATGCAATAATAGAGGCATGCAAGTGCTAGGGTAGAACATGAATTAAAAACCTACTCTACACAAGGCGTTGTTTTCTGGTGTATGGGGGACACCCGGCACCTGCCCTCGGAGACCTTACCATCTCATTTGGGAGATAACAGATATGCAAAGTGATACAAATAAAGCAATGCACAACCACTTTTTTAAAACAGGAGAAGCAATTAAGTTTTGGGGTTTGTCTGTTGTTTGTTTGTTTTAACTCAAGGAAGACAAATGAGAAGTGCAAAACCAAACTAGTTTGATTCAGGAAAACAAGCCTAGGCCATAGATTAATGAAGTAGGGCCAGAGAAATGCAAATTAGGCACACTTATTGGTGTTTAGCCTGGCACACAGTAGGCATTTGAGAATTGTTGTATTAATACATGCAGATATGTAATCATCAACGAATGGTTTGCTCCTCTGACCATTCCTATTAGCTAGTAAGAGTAACAGTTTACAAGGATCCACCTTATGCTAGTTTATCTAATCTCTCCAAGACAAATAAGCACAAATCCAGTGAATCTGTCCAGCCTCTGAAACCCTATCACCTGTGACCATTAGTGGATGATGATATCATGACTATAATATCTAAGGAGCAAAGGGAAGAATGTAACTTTGGGTGGTTTGGAGGACAACAAACCAAAATGTTGTAGGAAAATCTCAGATTTGGGTAATTTTTACTTAGCATTATGTTTCTTTTTAATCGGCTTTATTGAGATATTATTTATGTACATCAAAATTCACCAATTTTAAGTGTACAATTTTATGGGTTTTGACACATATATATAGTTATCCTGTAACCATCCATGCAGTCAACATATCGGGCACATTCTCCACTTCAGAAAGTTCCACATGCCTCTTTTACTTATCATTCTGCTTTAAAGCAAGCCCTGAGGTTGATCAATTTAGCCACTGATGTTAACACCAAGTAAATGAAAGACAAACTCTGTTACCTACAATGATCACTTAAATTAATCCCTCAATAAAAGTATCAAGACAAATTATGAAAAACCAAGAGATGATACTTAATAACAAAGGCATAGACTATAAAAAGACAAATGCCTCCAGAGAAGTAATCTAACATTGAACTTACATACATCTTACTTCTATCTGTATCAGTTTGATTAGAGTGCCTACACAACTATATCTTCTTCCAAAGACTATATCATCTTCAGAGATGGTTAATATTTGCAGGAGGGGGCACAAACTCTTTGCTCCCCAAAGTAGCTTGTTGAATAGGTACCAACCAACCAGAGAGACCAAAGAAGAAAATGACCTGAACGTTCTCAAGGCGTCTAAAGAGTTACATGAAACTTGCAGCTAACTTATTCTGTGTTCTATATAAGGAGTTAACATGGATCCCAGGTCCACACAGAAGAGAATTATTACTCTAAATAACCAAGTGCTCATGAGGATGACTATATAAGCTTCAGACAGATGTTTTAAAAAAAAAGAAAAGAAAGAAAGAAGCCAGATGGGAGTATTAAAGGCAGGAACCAAATTAAGCCCGAGATTACCCAGGAAGATAAAAAGATGACTAGGAGAGTAACAACCAGTGCTGACCAGAGTTACAGCACAGCCGGCCAGCCCCGAGCAGACGGACGTGGCTCAGACTTGGCTCAAACCCAATACAAGCACGCTGTCCCCATCTCCAGAGCAGCCAGGGAATGAACTGTGTGCTAAGCAACTGAATCATCACATGCTACAATAACGTCTACAGTCCATGCCTAGGAAGAATGCTTTGAGTAGAAAATGCATCTCCTATTGTTGGGCAGGACGAATCCCGCATACTTCTGCCCAGGGGCAAGAGACAAACCAACAATGAATAAAATACAACTTTGACATACACATACCCAGACTGTTTTCAATCAAATTTCAAAGGAAGCAAAATATGTAAAGAAAACATAACTCCAAATTTTCTCTTTAAAAAACAAACTAGATCAAAGGGTTTGAAAGGGTTCTATTTTATAGTTTCAAAAATGTTAGTCCCACTGAAACATTTTCTGGCCTGCATGAATCTTTCCCATAATAATCAGTGTCCTAGAAGTCATACCCCGGATGTTTAAGTGTGCATCAGCTACCAAAATCCCCTCAGCTGTGGACTTGAATTCTTTCTCCTCACAGATTCCTTTCTCTTGGGGCTGGGAGCTAAGAACAAGTGCTAATTTACCTCATCAACTAACTCACTGCATGCACAAAAACACCACAAAATGCCACAGATCTTGCTAAACATTCATATAACCGCCTTTGACCAATATCTAATATATTCCCCAGTAGTGATCTAAGGAGGACCCAGCTGAAAAAGGACCCTCGGGTCCCTGTGAGCTGCTCCTGTGTGAATGTGCCCCCCGCCCCCATTCCAGCTGACCCGTCATCCTACGAAGTCCACAGGTGTCTTCAGGGCCTCCTTCCTTTGATACTGACTTAAGTTAAACCTGAAAATGTTATGGTTACCGTCTTCCTGGATGTCAGTGAAAAGATTAAAGCTCCCCAAAGAGGAAAAGAAGAAGGGAGAAGAGATGGTGGTGAGAAATCACTGCTACTGACTCTGAGTGGAGTGCTTTAATTAAGACCAGCTAGATGGTGTTTGACCAAAAAAATGATACCTAGAACAATGATAAGATCACCTACCCCAGTGCTTTTCGAATCCCCTGGTGATCTTGTTAAAATACATATTCTGATTCCGTAGGTCTAGGGTGAGCCCAAGGTGCTGTATTTTCAACGAGCTCCCAGGTAATGCCAGCGTTGCTGATCCACGGACTACACTTGAGTAGCAAGTGCTTAGAAATTCAGATTTCTCAGCCCCACCTCTGGCCAATGGAAGCTACAGAAATCAGCACTATTTGAGCAGCTCCACAGATGATTCTTATACACACTAAATTTTGAGAAGCGTTTAATTCGCTGCATCACCTCTGCGAGGTAGCAACACCTGAGTCTATGTTAGCGAATTTCTCTGGTGACAGCTGAAGTAGTAACAGGGCAGTAGGAGGAGGTGTGTTCCAAGTCTAGAAAGTTTGGATGGTGGCTCGGGAATACCATGAGTAGGCTAAACTACTTCACTTATCCTAACTACTGATTTTTGCCCTACTGCGGGGTAATTTTTACCTGGGGGTGGTAATGGAGGTGGGAGTTTATTTCATTTGGTGCTTCAAGGAAGAGAAAAAAAAGGCTGGGGGTGGTAGGGTGCCACACACTCATTAGGCTGAATCCTCTTTATACTTTCTGTAATTCTCCAATTTTCTACAAGAACATCTATTGCTTTTATAATCAGAAAAAGAAAATTTTTTCAAAGTCCTTGAACTGGGAGCCACCACATCCTTAAGAAACTACTACACAATGCAGCACTTCCTAAAGCAACTAACTACCCCAAAATGGCTTTACCTTGAAGTTTAGCTTTTATCGGTACTCTAACTCCGTTTTCTGATCCTCAAACTTTACCACTGGAATTCACCTACGAGAGATTTTTGCCTGCTGTCTATATCATCAGTCATAGCCTAGTAAACAGGCAGATTTCAGTCTTATAAATCTCTCTATTTTTCTTATAAGAAACTTTTCCGACCTATCTACCATTGCATCAAACTGGTATTGTCTTTCTTTTGGTTTTTAGTTGTTCAATTTTACTAAATTACTCTATTAAATAAAATAAATGGCCCACACCACCTGATCCCTAGACGTAAGCACTTCTAACAATTCTGATTTTACTTTTGCTGTTGTTTACGTCTTTAACTATCAAAGATAAGCTTATAAAAGATGAGCATTTAGCTCACTCAATCCATCACTCACCCATTCTCCCTACGTGTTGTAGTTATTATCAATTTCCTTATTTGTCACATATGAAATTTAAATATTTTAAAAACCTCTATGTCTTATTCTGTCAACTTTTGACATGATCTAGTGACTTCTCAGTGTGTTCAGTGATGAAGATATTAGCACACCTGCCCTTTCCTCCACTTTTCCTGCCCCCTGTTCTCTTCTAAATTCCATTATCTAAACCTCTAATTTTATAATTTATCTTCTGTACTATAACCATAATTATCTTTAATGTTTGGTGCATAAATCAATTCTAAAAATTCAAAAACCAATAAACACCATTCATGCCTTTATGACTATTTAAATGTTATTTACTGCAAAGCCAAGAAATGTACTGGTTTACCTGTCCTTCTCGATAGTGTCATGTCACCACACTGGGCAGCACAAGGAAGCACTCCTGTCATCCCAGACAAAGGGATTCTCTTCTATCATGTGGCCTCAATTGTTCTATATCGCGTCACATTTTTGTTAGCTTCCTATTTGAACCATGGCTTTCTTATACTTTTTATATTTGGTTCAGTTTGGAGGACAGAGGGGAGGAGGTGTTTAATTATCTTGTTTTTCCCTTGTAAATTGAAGAAACATATACTTCTACCATATCCTGAAATGTACTCTCAACCATATGACAAAATCTACTTTTTCCCAGGGACATGTCTCCTACAGTCCTAGGCCCTCCTCCTCACACATGGACCAATGGCTTGTGGGGCCTCCACACAGCGCTCAGCCTGGCTTTCCTATGTTCACACGTGGCTTGGACCTGTGACTTCTTCCTTGGGTCTCTCTCTCATCTGGCCATCATTGAGAAATATCTTCTTTAAAATGTGCAGCTGGGAGGTAAATTTTCTGAGCCCTTGCATGTCTGAAAATATCTTGATTCTACTCGAATACTTGATTCATAGATTGAGTATGGAACTTTTATATCAAAATAACTTTTCCTCAGAACTTTGAAGGCATTACTCTGTTATATTCTAACACCCAGTGTGCCTGCCTAATACCAGTCTGATTCTCCTTGCCTTTTAGATAAACTTTTCTTTTTAAACACTTCCCTAGGATCATATCTGCATCCTGAGTGTTCTGCAATTTCTTTAAGAATGTATCGCTGTGAGGGTATTTCTGACTGTCCTTTACATTACTTAGTGAGCTCTCCTAATCTTAAATTAAGCTCTGGGAAATTTTCTTCCAATATTTTGTTAATTTCTCTACCTCTCTTTTCTCTGCTTTCCATTTCTGGAATTCCTATTAATCTGATTTGGGGTTTTTCAGATTTATAATATCTTATCTCATATTTTGCTGATTTTGTTTTTACTTGATGTTCTTCGAGTTTTATTTTTCAACAATCACTTATAATTTATAAAAGTAATTTCTTGTTTTGCTTACTTCTTTTTTCATGAAATTCTGCTTTTGTTTTATGGATGTAATACTTTCTCAAATATGAATACCAATACTAATAAAATAGAATTTTTTGAAGATTTCTTCTGTTTCCTAACTTACCTCTATTTCCTCTCGGGTCAATATGTATCTTTATACATTTCATATATGTTTATATTTATATGTATATAACATATATTTGCTTGTCTTGGGTTTTTTTTTTTTTCCTTCTTTGCTAACTTTGATACCATTTTATTTTCTTACTACTGCTTTTTCTTTAGTGTTTGGTATCTTGAATATCCATTCATATTTAAGAATGAAAGTCTAGGTATGTTATTCTAGATATCTTGTAGGAGTTTCCTCTATACTAGCTTCAGATAGGCCCCTTCCCTGAGTGGGATGAATGACCGTAAATTACGTGGTCATCAGCAAGAGTATGGGCTGGGAGGATTTTAAATGTTGAGTGGGCATTCAGACTGCCAGGATGAGAACAGTAGTTCACTAGAAACCTCAGTTTTCTCCAGGTTTTCTTCAGAGCACCGCTTGCTAACCTCTTTCGTACCATTAAATATATCAAAAGTGATTTTTCTTTTTCCTTTTTCTTTTTTTTTTGAGATGGAGTCTCACTCTGTTGCCCAGGCTGGAGTGCAGTGGCGTGATCTTGGCTCACGGCAAGCTGCACCTCCTGAGTTCACGCCATTCTCCTGCCTCAGGCTCCTGAGTAGCTGGGACTACAGGCGTCTGCCACCACACCTGGCTAATTTTCTGTAATTTTAGTGGAGACGGGGTTTCACTGTGTTAGCCAGGATGGTCTTGAAAAAGTGATTTTTCAAAGGGGCACTTTGCTGCCAGCCAGAGACTGCTCCCAGCAGCTCTGGCAACTCCAGGCCTCCCGGCAGCTCCATACACAGAGGTAGGGAAGGACGCACCCCTTGCACTGCATAGACCAACCTTCATCCATGGCTTCCATGTCCTGCACCCCACATCTGCCTACTTAGTTCTGGATGATCTTCCATTCCACTTTCCACATGTTCATGAGTCCTATCTCCTCCATTCTCTCTTCTCACATTTCTCTCTGTTCTATCATCCAGAAATGCGTTAAAACTCTCATCTGCTGATTACCTCTGCCTCCCTTTCTCCTGGTTGTTATGAATTTCTAGCCTAACTACTTTACTGTGACTTCAACGGGATTAGAGATGAAGGATGAGTAAATAAACATGCTTGACTGCCATTTTGAAATCTTGGACCCAAATGCACTATTTTCCAAGCAACCAGAATAACTCTTCTATTCTGCTTTCTTCATGTTTTATTTAATTTTAAATGGACATTATCTTTTAGTTAAGGATTTAAATCATGAAATTATCCTTAATTTCTCCTTAACCTTGATCCCCACATCTACTCAGTCTTTGAACCTTCTTATACCCTGCAAAGCTTTTTGAAATCTGTTTCCCATTTAATATTCTCATTGCCCCTATGGAAAGTGCGGACTGATGAGAGGTTAATTAAGAACTTACTAATTCTAATCCTCATAGACCCACCTGCACTGTTATGACGGCTCCCAAAGTTCTTCCTGCCTGTAATCTCCCCAATTCATCCCACTCACAGTCCTTTCCTATTAGTTCCCAAAAGTACAGTTCTTATCATTCACCATATGTATATCAATTACCAGGACATGAATCCCTGGAGGTGCTTATGAGAATGCCAGGGAAGGTTTTTTTTTTTTAAAGAGTCAAGCTTCTTAGCTTGGCGTTAAAGCCCCTTCAAGTCCAGGCCTCATTCTCCATTTCTGGCCATACCTCCCACTTGTCCTCCTTAAATACTTTGGGTTCTAGCCAAGTTAAACTACTTTCTGGGCCTTTAATTTGTTCTGCAATTTCCTACCCCTATGTCCTTGGTTTTCCTATTTAAAAAGCATGTTCCCCTCATAGAGAGAAGGTGTTGTCAAAGTTGCCCCCATCTTTCAATGACCAACTTAAATGCCTGCTCATTGCTGATCCTCCCAGCTGGAATTAATTATTTTTCTCCTGTTGTGTCTTAATATTTGATTTACACTTACATCTCATAATTCTACCTATATTCTGATTTATGTAATAGTCATTCATGTACACATATTTTCTCCAATATAAACTATATGTATCTACTGTAGACTGCAAATGACTTGAGGGCAGAAGTTGTGATTGTTAATTTTATTTTCTTATAACACTCAGTACAGTGCCTTACAAGTAGCTGATGTTCAATAGATGTACTTTGAGTGGAGGTAGATAAACCATCTGGTAAGGAATGACCATTGCAACATTCAATAACTCTTCATTGTTTAAATGTATTACCCTAACTTTTAAAGTTCTCCATATTATGGCCCCAATTTAACTTCTCACTCCCTCCTACAGAAATCTTAATTCATGCTAAAATATTCTACTGACAGACGGCCAAAGTGGCCCCCATACTGTATCCATCACCTCTACCTGACCCACATTTACGATTTTCATGAATCAGTTCAAAGTGCTTCTCCATAAAGCCCCTGAATGAATTGTATCCATTCAACCTGCAATGCTCTTTCCATCTTCTGATCACGTTGATAATGTTCGTATCAACTGCAATTTTTTTGCAATTTTTCTTATTACTTAAATGTAATTACTGTTAAATACCATCCCTAGCTAAATCATGTTTCTTTTCATTTGCCACAGTATTTCGTTCATAGCAGGACTCAGAAAATTTTTGATTTGATGATTTTATCATTCATTCAAATTAGCAGTAATATCATTCCAATGTATTCAACAATATTAATTACATAATTTTAAAATATGCTTTAGTATTTTCAACTATAACATGAACTATATTAATGAATAATAATATGTGAATATATATGCTAATAATTATTTAAAGGATTTTAAAATAAATCTTTTAAATAGGTTAAATTATATGTCATCATGCTTATGTTATATATATGCTTTGCATATATACCAAAATGTATTCCAGATATACCCAAAATTGATTCAAATTACTAGATCAATTTAATTAAAGCTTGTTGTAAACTAAATAATAGCGAACAGTCTCCTCTTTTCAATACATTTCTATAGATTTTTCTAGGAATAATTTTAAAGCTAATAAATTTAAAGCTAGACAGATTTCATATAAAGAAACAAAACTTTACTACAAAATCAAGATATGTTGCTGAATACTTTCAATATACTCATCTTGTCATCTCAGCAAAAATAAGCCACTTATCCTTGTTTATTTTTCAGAATTTTACTTTCCTCTTACAAACATATTTCTACCTTGTGTTAATTATCTTTCTTTCACAACCTCCTGTTGCATTTCATTTTCTGTCCATTTATAGTTTGACAGCTTGCTCTGGGCTCATTCTATTTTATAGCGAACGCTATTTCTGTCTTTGTCAAATCTCAAGCCCATTGTCATTCTCCCTCCTCCTTTAAACGGAGCACTGTAAGTAGACATACACCTAATTCATGATCATGTCTTCAAGTGGCTGTCAAGTGAGAAACTATATTCATATAGTCATTTAAATTATAATATTATAAAACATAATGTCATTAAATACTAATTGGGTGCTGTGAGTAAATAGAGAACACTATTAATATCTCTGGGTTGTTATTATCAGAGAGAGGTAGGTGGATATAGTAGAACTTGAGCTTCAGTTATGTACAGGTTAGCAAGGTAAAGAGGTAGCATAAATAGGGGAGCACTATGACTTTGATGCTGGACAGAACTAGAGTATGTCACGCAGGTCTCCTGCTAATTTGCTGTGTGATCTTGAGCAAACCACTTCACCTCTCTAAACCTTAGTTTTCCGTAAGAAAGCTTTCAAATAGGGGCACTCATTCTTACCTCACAGGGTTGTTGGAAGGACAGAAAGAATACATAAAGCACATAACAGTACTCAGCACAGAGTCAACACTCAGTCCATTACTTCTTAAAGGATAGGGCAGTCCAGGGGGAGAAAACCCAGGGACTGTGCATGTTCAACTCAACTACTGCCCCAGCAAAACTGAGGGCAACCACTACCTACGGCCCCTCTGGGCAGTAGGGACCACTGCTTCCCAATGGAAATCCTCTTCTCCTCTCCTATTTTCCCTCCCACTGCCAGTCAGGAGAGCTTTCATCAGCCAATTACAAACCCAAAATCAAATCCACAAGTCAGATAATGTAGCTAACTTTTTCCTTTGCGGGGATAAAAAAAGTGATAGAGGCTGAAGGAAAAATATAGCTCTGCTGCTGCCGCAGACAATGTTCTCAGGCAAAGAAACTGACTCACAGCTGGACAACTTCGAGAAAGAAAATTTTCCACAAAACAGCAACGATGCCACAAAATAAAAGAAAAATGAGAAAAAGCTATGACCTGCGGTTCCATAACTACATCGCTGCTGCCTAACTTTTCTGTGAACCTAATGACTCATTTTACTGTCAGTTCTAGTGTTTTAATCACTTCCTGAAGGAGCACATGGAGGGCGGAGCTTGGCCTGAATTGATGACTTCCCCGATAGCTTCACCAGAGCATAACCCACGTCCTCAAGCCCTTCACTGCAAAAACATGGCCTTGTCCACAAAGAGGGAATGGCCCTGCATTGAGTTGGATCCTCACATCCAGCACACACTGCATTTCATCAATGGCAATGCCAAAGTCATATTCAGGTAGGCTGAGAAGAAGCAAAAAAAAAAAAAAAAAAAAAAAAAAAAAAAAAAACAGGCAAAAATGATCCCAAAACATCATGCCTGATAAATGGAGGAGATAATAAGAGAGTGCCTGGTGGGCACGCAAGCACAATTACACAGCGCAGGCCAGGTGGAAAGGCTCCAGCTGGAAAAGGTCAGGGGTTGGGAGCCCTCAATTTATTGAGCACTGGGTGTGTGGGAGCAAAGGGGGCACCCAAAAGAAGGGAATCGGTGCACAGCGTGACAGACAACAGGGACATCGAGGATGTCTCCAGGGAGACGAAGGAGGGATTTCAGGGAAAAGGAGGCCTGGCCCAGGGGTGACCACACACTCAGGGTGCAAGGAGAGGGTTGGCGGGGCGGGGAATGAGTCCTGGCCCCAGAAGCCCCAAATGAAGCCAAAGAGAGGCAAAGTCTGGAGCACAACGTGGATGAGGTGACAAGAGGGGCCGCCATTGACCAAGGAAAGAATCTGAAATATTATTGTGGTCAGAGAGGCAGATAACTTTTATAAGAGCATTCCAGAATGAGCAGATGGGAAAGGCAGTTCAAGCAAGGAGGGAGATATCTGTTTATTTTCATAGGCAATTGTAGGCTTAAAAGGCAATCTGGGAGATTTTTTAGCCTTAAATAGATAAGCAGTATACTATTTTCTAGTAGACCACCAAATATAACCTGGTGTCTGGAATACAATTTAATAGGCAATTCCCAGAATAAATTATACCGATGTAGCTATGTATTTTCAGCCTTGTGAAAGGGTGCATGTGTATTTTCCTCTCCCAGAAGTGCATCCAAAGTTTTACTAATTCACAGCCTCCTGCTTCTCCCCACACTGCCCAGTGTCAGATGACATTTCTTGACAGTCCCCAACATGGATCCCGAAGTCCCAGCACTTGGGACCCCTCCTGCTGCCCCCCAACCCCGCAAGAACTACCTTCCCACAGACAGGGTTCTCTCGGGTGTGGCTCTCATCCTGGGGGAGCTGACGGTGCATGGCTAGTTTCCTTAGCACCTAGTGGAAACTAAACCAATCCCAAGGACAAACACAAGTGGATAGGAATCCCATGTGCAGTCCACACACACTTGACACAGCAAACACAAAATACACCTCCCAATGTCACAGCCTTCATTTAGTTCACGCTACTATATACCTCAATTCCACTGGAAAAAAAACATTAATAAAAAACTTCCTACTTCAAAAACTGGCAAATTACTTTGATGCTACTTCAAACTCTGTGTTTTCAGTTCTCCCACATTTTTGCCTTGATCCCTGGATAAGAAACCAATATATCAAAGTGAATACCTTGTTTGTGTTTATCATTGTTATCTTTATGAGAAGGCATTAACCCTTGCCCTTTGAGATAACGGAATCAGTGGACCTCAGATCAAACAAACTAAACTAAGAACGTCTGAGACATGGGAAGTTTGTCCCTGGGATGTTGGTATGCGGTGGCCCTATCCAGCTTTAGAACACTAACCCCCACCCCACCCCCAAGGCATTCAGAAATAATTTTATTTGCTCTTATTCATCAGCAAAGGAAAAGTAGCAAACCCCAGAGCCAAAGACTATTCATCCCACCCTGTGATAACCCTGACCCTAGTAAAGCCAACATCTGTCTCGTGTTTGAGGTGGCTGACGGCCAACTGGGGATCAGAAAACAACAATTTCCCTGGTCAGATGTAAGCTTTGCCCAGCATGTTGACTTTATAAACCACCCTGTAAGCTCAGTAAATTTAATTGGTAGATAGGGTTGTCTTTCCTTGGCTCATTTCCCACCAATTAATATTACCGGCATGAGTACCCATATGATCAGACGTACACTAACAAGACTCTGTCTAGACAGGCAGAAAAGGTTTTTTCTTTGTATTTTTTCCAGAATTAGGCATTAATGTGCTACTCGTGAATGGAACAAATGTTTACATAAATCCATACTGGGAAAAGAAATTCTTCTCTCAAACACTTCCAGGGGAGACATCATTGGCAGGATTAGCTGCATATTGGAGCTGCCATATTAGTTCATTTTCCCTGTACTTCAAAGATGCAGGAGCCAACAAGAGGGAGGGCACCACAGTAAGAAATGTGAGTAGCAAGGTTATAAATCAGTACTTTTGACAGGGTGATTCCAGACAGCTTTGCTTTAACCAACATTCGACCTTACTTTATAGTGGTGAGGAGGTATTGAGCATAGTTAAGTGTTAAAAAATGACCCTGGCCTTCCCTACAATGTGGTATGAAAAAATATAAAAGGCACTTTTAAACATTACTTTGAAAATCTTAAGTGAGGTATATAGTACAGAAATATCTGTTATCCAAAATCTAAGATTTTATTGTTTTCAAAAGAGGAATTTTTAAAAGTACCCCCTCCAAGGCAAACAAAAAATGTCAAGCTGTGAGACGTAAATAAAACTGCAAACTACCTTTTTCCCAACTACTCAACTCACAACTTTCCCCAATCCCTCTTTAGTGTTTGCTTATACCGGACAAATTACGAAACTAAATCTGCTAGGGAAGGCTAAGTTCATAAGGTTTTGGGTAAGTAACTCCAACAACCTTCATTGATTATTAACATTATGGGTCCCTCCATTCTCACAAGTGATCGAACCAAGTCAACACTTGGCACATTTTCAAAATTCTGCTAAGAAATAGCAGAGGACACAGAAGTATTATATAATATGGTCCCTGCCCTCAAGGAGTTCATAGTCAGATTATCCATACCAGTTTAATTCTTAAGATGACTGCTGTAAGAAACTGAAGCCCAACAGACAACATCATGATAGTTTTTCTGTTGAAAAGGAAGATTTTCATCAGTTGAATGGACAGTGACAACATTTCACTTTTGGAGAGAGGAAATTTGGTCCTCTAAACATGAGGTTCTATGATGGGCTGTAGTCATTGTATCCATTTCCTCCGGGCCCCAAATAAAGACGTGACCCAAACTGGGTCACACAAAGCCCTGCCTGTGGATGTCTTTGATACGGAGCTAACAAAGAGGCTGCTGCTTCTCTGGAAAGCTGTGGGAGGCATTGACACTGGAGCTTCCTGTGGCTGCTGTTCGCTGCTCAGGGAGGGTGCCCCACTGAGAGGATAGGGCCAATACGCAGAGAGAAGCAGAGAGAAGAGGGACGGCACAGCACTGTACACTCTGCTTCCAGAAACCTGAGGTTAACCATACCCTGCCCTTCCCAAAGTTTGGTTATGTTTGCCAGCAGGTTCCATCCTTGGCAAGCTCGTTGGAGTTGGACTTCTGTCCCTTACAACCAAAATGTGTCTTGACATCAGTTGTTCTCCATCTTCAACGTACCTAACAAAAGAAATGGAGTCTTACACTTCAGCAGGAATTACATGATACATATGACATATTATATACGAATTTTGAAATTACATGATAGATATGACATATTATATATGAATTTTGACTCTAAAGGAGCTCAACCATTAAACTTCCTACAAAGTGTGGATGTGGCACCTATTCTTGGTCTTCAAATTATCTCAGATGACTGTCTTGAATAACTTTACACACAGAACAAGGCCTAGACTGATGCATAATTCTTAAACTATTTGTTCTACACATCTTGGACCTGTTGAAATGGCCCAAAGACTACCCACCCCGCTGAGCACTGAAACTACCTATTCCTGCCTTCTAATTCCAAGTGCCCTCCATTCACTGTCATCTGCTGCTTCTGCACCTCCACAGGCACAAATACTAGGACAGCACTGACATACCCGGTGTGATTATTCACAAACACATCTTTGCATCACCTGCAAGTTCTCTGCCTTCTACTGAAGCCTCTGTGGAATCCACTTCTCCCTCCTGGCCATGGGGCCACCACAGCAGCTGAATCACCTGCCCTTCCTTCTTCCGTCCCTCCCAACTCAGAAAACCCCTGGTGTCCCCATGAGGACCACATTTTGAGAACCACTAAACAAGAGGCGTCTCTATGATTCTTGCCAACACTATCATCTCTGCATAATAGCACAAACTTTTCTTTCTCTGAGTGTTCTTTTTTGGCAATTAAAGGGGCAGATTTTAGAAGTTTCTCTCCTTTCTATCCTACAGTTATAAAAAAACGAAAAATGGGCAGTACATGAACCCAACCAAGAATACTGTTTTTTCAGCTGCTTTTCCTTAACCTTGAGATTCCTGAATTGAAATGGGGGAGGGAGAATAATTAGGTATGATGTTTGAGAAATTGATTCCTAATAGTTTGTGAGGTTTAGAGTATTCGTCATTTCACCCACTATTCAAGTGTTTCTTCGTGGTTTGCTCCACAAAGAAAAAGGTCTCTTGGGAGTCAAATCTGTTTGAAATTATTCAGCTCAAAGACTGACACTGTGAAATTAGAGAGAAAGAGGTCAAATAACCTTATCGGTGGATTTTCAGAGTAAAGCATGGTCTGGCATCATGTGGACGTTTTCAGATGGCCACAGACACTGAAGAGACAAAAAGAATTTTCCAAAAAAGAAGAATTTTTCTTACAGTAAAGAGATCCAAGTCCCACCCACATCATTTTTTGTTGTTGTTGTTTTGCCCTTGACCCTTCGCTGCTAACACTGCTTCTAAATTACTGCAGACACAGTGGAATTTGGAATCTCCATTAATATTTACAAAGCTTGCCACCCAGGCTATGACCCACCCTGCTGTTTCAGAATGATAAATTCATCTGCCTCTACCAGGACTTGAGAAATCTTATTTCACTGGGGAATAAGCATAATTTCTGCCATACACATGATGCGATTATCAAGTCTGGTTTATTAGCCAGCAGATCTCCTAAGGCTATTTCATGGCAAAAAAAAATGTATTCAATACAACTTTGGAATGACTAGAATATCATTTTCTCCAAAAGTCTTACTTCCTTAGTAGCCATTAATGTCACTAAAGTACGAGTAGGCACAAGACCAAATGGAAACAGGTAACCATTTCAGAAATGTACTGTGACACATGAGGCCCCATCTAAATAAGGAATGCACTCTGAAGCAGCTAGATGCAGAAATGCATTTCTTCCCAGTAGCTCTCCATTCTAACTTTGAGTTTGTTTTGTCTTTCACTGAGAAAAAAAAAATGAGTTGACAACATTTGTTGTTTTAATGATTTTGTTTAAAAATAAGAAATTGGAATCCTTCTTTGTTTTAAGGACCAAAGTCAGCTAGGAAGTTAGACCACATGATTTCCAAGGTCTTGTCCTTGGAAAATTCAAAATAGATCTAAAGTTCAAAATCGCACACAATGAAGTGATCGATCTTGATATGGTATAGATGAGTGCAGCAGGAATTCAGAAGAGGAGAGCAAAGTGTGGCAAGGTGTCATCAAATGTGGTAGCTCACAGATGTTTTGGTTTGTCCTTCTGGGAACATGATAGGCTGGCATATTCTCTCTCCTTGAAGTTGGGTGTGGCCAGGTGGCCAGTTCTGACCCAAATACCTTAAGCAAATGTAACAGTGACATATGGAGTGAAGGTGTCAGGGAGTAGAACCCCTCCACTCCTGTGGGATGCACATGCATTGCTATTTGTTCTTTTACATCCACTGAGATTTGGGAGTTGGAATTGCAGTGTAACCTTGGTCCTCCTAGCTGAAAAGGATGGCTTTGTAAAGAAGATGAGACTTTGGTCATATAGTGAAGAAAAGAGAGAAGAAAGTGGTTAAGAGATTCCAAAAATGAGATCTAGTCCAGAGATTCTCAACAACATAAAACCAAATAAATGAGAATATTCAGAAAAGGGGCTCAGGCATCAGAATTTTCAAAAGCTTCTCAGGTGATTCTACAGTACATCCATATTCAATTATAAATTGTCAATTTACAATAAAATAAAAACATTAAAATAAAGGACATTCAGGGCTGAGGACCACTGATTTCAATAATAGGGATGAGTGCAGAATAAAAGTGAATAGATAAACCATGAATAAGCACAAAGAGTTTTTGCAATTCCCATATGTTCAAAAGTCCCAGATAGAGTTTCCAGATAACTTCAACAAAGATTAAAAAAGAAAAAAGTTAAAATTTTGTACTACCAAAAAAATTATTTGACATAGAATGGTCAGTTAACAAAGTACAATTGGCATTTCTCAGTGTTGATTTTTCAAAAAAAATTCTTCTTTTTCTTACAAAGAAAAAGGAATATTTAAAACCCCAGGCCAATTTTACCCCAAATGATTTATATGTTTGTCTCTCATGTTCACATACCCATTCATTATCCATTACACTAATAACACTGTTACAAATAATATTAATAGCTAATATTTATTATTTACTGTGAGCAAAACATTATGCTAAGCAATTTGCAATAACCTCGCTTAGTCCACACAACAAACCTTGCTGAATAGTTAATTTTTTTTTCTTTTAGTCTCACTCTGTGGCCCAGGCTAAAGTGCAGTGGTACAATCATAGCTCACTACAGCCTTGAACCCCTGCGCTCAAACAATACCCACTCCTCAACCTCTGGAGCAGCTAGGACTACAGGCACATACTGCCATGCCCAGCTAAGTTTTTTAAAATTTTTGTAGAGATAAGGTCTCACTAGGTTGTCCATCTGGTCTCTAACTCCTGGGCTAAAGCGATCCTCCTGCCTAGGCCACCCAAAGAGCTGGGATTACAGGTGTGAGCCACCACACCTAGCATTAGTTACTATTATTAACCACATTTTGCAGAGGAAGAAACTGAGCACAGAGAGATGAAGTAAATTTACCAAAAATATGTCATATCAAAGGAGTAGATTTGGGAAGGAACCCAGGTCTTTATGAGTCCAAAACCTACTACTTTGATTATTAGATCCAACTGACTCACGAAAATTTATTTACACTCCATCATTTTACTAAATAACTATAAAAGAATAAAGAAGCTGTTTTAATTTGAAACAGAGACTGTTTGATGGAAAAAACAAATCTACTTATCAAGTAATGTGGGTTCTTCATGGGAAATAAACATCATATCCAAAGTATCACTATTCTTATAAAAATAATTTGCTGAGAAGGAAAAAGACAAGTTTCACCTCCCCTCATCACCCACAGTGACACAGCAATTTGAATTAGTTCACAATTAGCCCAACTCAGAGTCAGCTGTTATTCACACTTAGTGTAGCAGAAATCCATTTGTAGGCAATGTTAACCAGTTCTTCATCAGTACAAGGTAACTTTCAAATTGAAAAATATACCGAAAGGTAATATTTGATATTTTGAATATTTGAAATTAAATATAATTGGGGAATTCTTGATTCAAGTTGGTTAATCATTTTTGGGAAAAACTGTCACACAGCATTGATTTTAAAAGAAACTCAGATAGCACATGTATCCAATATGTCCACAGAGTTGTGCATTTCTTGTGTGATAAATAAAGCTTATGATAAATCAGAATCTTGCCAATGGTCTGCTGTGCAGAACTCCATAGAGACATCCAAACTGATATGCCAATAAAGATCACATACCCTTTTCCAAGGAGTAAATAGTCATGATAGCAAACAACATAGGCTTACCAGATGAATGAGAACATTTGCAAACAAATGAGTAACAGTAATAACTTACTTCAAACTCTTCACAGGTCTAGCACCAAATTTTAATCAGTATGTGTATAAGCAATAAAAGCCAAGGGATCTATGTAGTCCAACTTTAGAGTAATATTACATTCAGGAAAAGAAAGTCCAGAAAACAAAAATAACTTTAAAAGTAACTCAAATAATTTACTTGCATTTCTGAAAGACCCCTGATATGGTTTGGCTGTGTCGTCACCCAAATCTCATCTTGAATTCCTGTGCGTTATGGGAGGGACCCAGTGGGAGGTAATTTAATCACTGGGGCAGGTCTTTCCTGTGCTGTTCTCATGATAATGAATAAGTCTCACAAGATTTGATAGTTTTGAAAAGGGGAATTTCCCCGTAAAAACTCTCCTTTTTTGTCTGCTGCCATGTGAGACATGCTTTTCACCCTCCATCATGATTGTGAAGTCTCCCTAGCCATGTGAAACTGTAAGTCCAATAAACCTCTATCTTTTTGTAAATTACCCAGACTTGGTTTTGTCTTTATCAGCAGCACGAAAACGGACTAGTAAAGTAAATTGGTACCGGTAGAGCGGGGCACTGCTCAAAACATTCCCAAAAATGTGGAAGCAATTTTGGAACCGGGTAGCAGGTAGCAGTTAAAACAATTTGGAGGGTTCAGCAGAAGACAGAAAAATGTGGGAAAGTTTGGAACTCCCTAGAGACTTGTTGAATGGCTTTGATCAAAATGCTGATAATGATATGGGCAATGAAATCCAGGCTGAGGTGGTCTCAGATAGAGATGAGGAAATTGTTAGGAACTGGAGCAAAGGTGACTCTTGTTATGTTTTAGCAAAGAGACTGGTGGCATTTTGCCCCTGCCCTAGAGATCTGTGGAAGTTTGAACTTGAGAGAGATGATTTAGGGTATCTGGCAGAAGAAATTTCTAAGCATCAAAGCATTCAAGAGTTACTTGCAGGCATTCAGTTTTATAAGGGAAGTAGAGCATAAAAGCTCGGAAAATTTGCAGCCTGACAATGCAATAGAAAAGAAAATCTCATTTTCTGAGTATAAATTCAAGCCAGCTACAGAAATTTGCATAAGTAACAAGAAGCCAAATGTTAATCCCCAAGAAAATGGAGAAAACATCTCCAAGTCATGTCAGAGGTCTTCATGTCAGCCTCTCTTATCACATGCCTGGAGGCCTACGAGGAAAAAGTGGTTTTGTGAGCTGGGCCCAGGGTCCCTGTGCTGTGTGCAGCCTAGGGACTTGGTGCCCCATGTCCCAGCCACTCCAGGCATGGCTGAAAGGGGCCAATGTAGCACTTGGGCCGTGGCTTCAGAGGGTACAAGCCTCAAGCCTTGGCAGCTTCCATGTGGTGTTGAGTCTGTGAGTGCCCAGAAGTCAAAGAATTGGGGTTTAGGAACCTCCACCTAGATTTCAGAAGACGTATGGAAATGCCTGGATGCCCAGGCAGAAGTTTGCTGCGGGGGCAGAGCCCTCATGGAGAACCTCTGCTAGGGCAGCATGGAAGGGAAATGTGGGGTCCAAGCCCCCACACTGATTCCCCACTGGGGCACTGCCTAGTGGAGCTGTGAGAAGAGGGCCACCATCCTCCAGACCCCAGAATGATAGATCCACCAACAGCTTGCACCGTGTGCCTGGGAAAGCTGCAGTCACTCAACGCCAGCCCATGAATGCAGTCAGAAGGGAGGCTGTACCTTGCAAAGGCACAGGCAGAGCTGTCCAAGACTGTGGGAACCCACCTCTTGCATCATTGTGACCTGGATGTGAGACCTGGAGTCAAAGGAGATCATTTTGGAGCTTTAAGATTTGACTGCCCTTCTGGATTTCAGACTTGCATGGGGCCTGTAGCCCCTTTGTTTTGGCCAATTTCTCCCATCTGGAACAGCTGTATTTACCCAATGCCTGTACCCCCATTGTATCTTGGAAGTAACTACTTGATTTTGATTTTACTGGCTCATAGGCGGAAGGGACTTGCCTTGTTTCAGATGAGACTTTGGACTGTGGACTTTTGAGTTAATGCTGAGATGAGTTAAGACTTTGGGGGACTGTTGGGAAGGTATGATTGGGTTTTGAAATGTGAGAACACGAGATTTGGGAGGTGCCAGGGGTGGAATGATACGGTTTGGCTGTGTCTCCAGCCAAATCTCATCTTGAATTCCCACGTGTTATGGGAGGGACCCAGTGGGAGGTAATTTAGTCATGAGGGCAGGTCTTTCCTCTGCTGTTCTCATGATAATGAACAATTCTCACAAGATCTAATGGTTTTAGAAAGGGGAATTTCCCTGCACAAACTCTCTTTTCTTATCTGCCACCATGTGAGACGTGCCTTTCACCTTCCACAATGATTGTGAGGTCTCCCTAGCCACATGGAACTGTAAGTCCAATAAACCTCTTTCTTTTTGTAAATTGCCCAGTCTCAGGTATGTCTTTATCAGCAGCATGAAAACGGACTAATATGACCCCATTTATAATAGCAACAACAAATCATAAATCTTATTTCTTCTCTTTCCCAATTCTTTAGGGCCCAGAACTTCTCCCTGAGACTGATAATTGCTAAATTTTTCAAAACTCTGTATTGAAACACAGCTATAAAGAGTAGGTTGTATTATTGATACACTCTCTCCTTTCTGACCATTCCTCTGTGGGAAGAATATACTTCCCCATCCCATTAATATTGGCCTTGACCATGTGACTTTCTTTGACCAGAACAATGAGAGCAGATGTAATGTATCCCACAACCAAGCAGACACTTTAAATGTGCTTGTGTAGTTTCACTTGGCCTCCTATGCTCACTTCTATCTGCTCTCTGCCATGAAAAGAAAAAGCTCCAAGTAGCCTTGAAATGAGAGACACATAGAACAGACATGAACTTGACCCAGAGCCTGAAATGAAGTCACCAGAGCTGACCACAAACCGATGAATGAAAAATCAATGTCTGGCTATGTAAGATACTGAGATCTGGTGGTGTTTGTTACACGACATATTACAACAAAAGCTGATACACAATGCGACTTTTCTGCTTTCCCTCTGCTTCCCCTGTCTCCATCCCCAGCAAGCAAGAACTCCGCTTCTTTAGGAAGGGAGAGGAGAGATAAATTGGAATACGCAGTGCAAAACCAACTTGACTGGGAGAAGGAAAATGTTATTACCTACATAATGATGGGAAAAGTGACATCATGCCATATCAAAGGAGGCAGTCTCTAAGACTGAGAAATAAAATCAGTGCAGCCATCAGTGAGCCCTGAAGTCAGCAAGGAGAGAAGCAGAGGCAGTGTCACCCAAGGTCCAATTGGAGGACTGTAATCATCTCAAATAAAAATATAAGCCACTTTAGCTGACTTACGTGCAAGGAAGAGCGGGCATTTGGGGCCTGGTATGAGAAAGTATGCTGGGGGTAACTTAAGCCAGACAGGCCTGTAATGACTGCCCATACCTACTTGATTGTTCTCCACCCTGGATTGACCCGAGAACCCTGTGGCCTATGATCATGGCCTTAAAAATAATAGTGATATTCTCTCTTGTATGAAACTAAATACATAACTTAGAGCCTTCTCTTTAACTAAGCCAATACATTTGTCACACCAATTGCCTTTGCACTTCCATCCTGCTGTGTGGCAGACCAAGGACTTGATATTGATGTAGGTTTTCTATCATGAGAAGTCTAGCCCTTGACACATGCAGTTCCTTGGCAAATAGTATTTATGGTTGAAATGTCCTTAACTGAATGACCAGTTGGGATGGTCTTAGAAACGACCAGAAGCTAGGAGCTTCCCTGCCTCCAGACAGATTGAGGATCATAAACCTTGCTCAGCAAAGTAGCCACCTGAAGGCCCACAGCATCATCTCTGATCATGTGCCGGGACCACTCCATTAAGATGAGTTCTGAAAATAGACTGACCCTTTGATTAAATCCAACATTAAGCCTGGATTTTCCTCAGGCTCCTGAAGGTGAGAGTCAATGTGGGCTCAAGGTAAGGAAGCCTTCACTGTCTCAGAAAAGTATAAACTCCTTAAGAGCCTTCTCTTTGCTACTGCTCACCATGCTAATGCCACACACACACACACACACACACACACACACACACGCAAAACTCAAAGCAATAAAAAAATTAAACCAGCTGCTAGTTTTCAAGCACCATGTCTCCCTGCTGCTGCCTAAAGGAGCCCTGTTTAAATGCTTTTTCTTTGTTTTTTTCTTACTCCTTTCTTCTTCAAAAAACACCTCTTTTTTCTAACAAATTAATAAAGTAAGTCATTTTTCACCCACTTACAAGTACCAAGATAGGAAAATCCATTGTAAAGAGCTGATGAGGCAATTATAAGGGATGAGGGATGAACGCTAATATTTCTGCCCTGCCTGTGTGACTAAGATTTATAAACGTAAACCTGCAAATTTCTGGCTTACGTATGCAAATGTAGGTCCAATTAGTGATTCACCTGCAACTGCTAATTAAAAGGCCTGGGGTGATGGATTGCCACTAAGCGGGCAGGCAGGGGCCTGGCTGTCCAGCATCATCTATTCCCATACAAAGGATAGCCCAAGAAGAGAATCTCTGAAGATTAGCTCCCTAAAGAACCATCAGAATTTTATATCTACTAATTTGGAAGAAAAAAATAAGTCATGTGGGAAAATGTAATTATAATGCAGCTAGAAAATAAAAACAGGCAAATCAAACCAAGCATTGTTGCATCATTAAAGGAGAAAATAACCGTTCTGAGTAATTTTCCCATGGAATTCGGAACAAAAAAAACAAAAGAATTGGAAAAAGGTTTGGAAGAAACCACATGTGATTCTTTCCCCTCCAATTACAACAAATTTCCATAGTTCTCAACTCAGCAAAATGCCTGAACCAAAGTTTGGCAAATAGCAGAGAATAAAGTTGTTAATAAAATAAAAAATTCAAGTCCAAGCTTTCCAGACAGAGCCAGGTTGAATAGATTCTTCTATTACTTAAACTAGGTTTGGAGACATTGATTCAATTCCTGACTTCCAGTTTCAGCTAAAACAACCTAATTAAATTCAAATTAAAAAAAAAAAAGCCCTGCTTTTCACAGCCCACAAGTAGCAGCATCTATAGATCTCCAGTTCCCTCTGATATAAAATGCCAGAATAGAATATCTCTTCCTTTGTCAGCCCCTTGGCTCAGTCACACAGACATAAATCACCAAACCATTGCTGTGGCTACAGTGCTTTATGATCTGCTGTCCCTCAAACCCACACCTCTTCATGACTGTCATGTCTTAACCCAAAGGACAACCACGGCAGCTGCTATTTGGACCAAGAGCCAGGCCTGTGGCCACACAGATCTGGCCTTCAAAGGGCTGCTAAATGCAGGGTCTTGTTGGGTTAGGAGTGTTTCTTCCAGGCAGCCCTAGCACGTGTGGGGTATATGAGGGCCCTTGTAGAACAGCTTCCCACGCATGGCATCCTGGAGGACCTAATGAGGTGTCACATAAAAAATACTCCTTAATTAAGTGACCTCAGAGGGGGAAACAGCAGGTGGGCAACGTCAGGGTGCTACTGGCAGGAAAATCAAATAGATGCTTATTAGCTTTACCTCATCAGTAAATATCACTGCCTTGGAGAATGAAGAAACACAATAAACAACCCTTAGTATGTTGAAACACTGACCTTTTAGTGCACACAACTACCCCACCCAGTCTTCCATTTGCTCTGCTTTATTTACAGTCCCTTATTTTAAACTCATACACTAATTAGTTTTACCCTCATTAATTATTTGTATTTACAGTTAAAATATATCACATCTTCCTAGGTGAAATGTATTTGAGTATTTGCTGAGTCCTACTATGTGCCAGGTGCTTCTTGCTGTATTATCTTCGGAAACCTTTATACCAACCAGGTGAGGCTGTGAGTTGCCTGACATCATTCAGTAATCAGTTAGTAGAGCAGGCATTCAAGCCTCCATTCCATGGCAGCTGCCACCCACTATTGATAGGACCCACTTTCTCCCCCGTCTTTGTCGTCTACTACTTTTAATTTGAGTGTGTTCCCTATTCTTTTTGGAATAATCTTTTTGTGGCTTTTACCCACTGATCCCTGCTCTCCTCATTCTTCTGTTTTCTAAACTTTTCTCAGTTCTCTGCACTTCTTTCTTTATACTCTTAATTCTTTACCCTTCCCCTTTTCCCTTGATACTGGGTACCTCAAATCCTCACATTAGCAATACATCAAGGAAAGACACAGACTATCCATACCATCTACACTGACTCCCTCATTTAAAGAAACCAACGATGGGAAAATTTAGGCAACAAATCCGAGGGCCCACTGATAGTCGGGAGTTGGACTCTGTTAAAACAATTAATTGCGAAGCCATTAGGCTGAGATGGCTCCAGCACCTTGGGTTATATAAGCAAACAGAAACCTAACTCACTGCAAGCAGTAAAACAAAACTTAGGCTTAACTAATCAGAAACCACCAACTCACCTCTAGCTAGGGACTTTCCACTTTAACCAATGAAATCTTTTCTTTGTCTTGTTTTCAAAAACACATTATAAAAGTTTATCTTTTCACACCTTCAGGGGAACCCTGAACTGCTTACAGTCTGGTGCTGCCCAATTCATGAATTGCTATCTGTTCAAATAAACTTATTACAATATCAATGTGCCTAATTTTATGTTAATAACAGTATAAAAATTAAACCTTAATTTTCACTTTGGTGTTTTTTCAGGCTCTACAAGTTTCCTCTCATGTTCCTTAACCATAATCACACAGTACAAGCCCAATTTTCCTCACTGAATAGCTTTCCTGGAGATCTGCACCCCCACCTGGGCTGTCCTGTTCAGCACTTTCAACACGTGTGCACCAGACTTGACCTCCCTAAGGGCAGAGACCTTGGTTTATTGCCTTTGTGTCTCCAGCACTTGACACTGAGTTGGAGCCTATAAAGGATTGTTGGATGAATAAACAAATGAATGAATGAATGAATACTGTTTCTTCAAAGGTCCCAAAACACACCTTCTCCATTTCTACCTACATTGCCTTAAAGTTCTCCCTGCCTTTACCCCACTGGTTTATTCTCCTGGTTTATTCCATTCACATTTCAAAGACAAGCTCAAATCCCTTCTCTTCCATTGAGCATTTGCAAAGCACTCCAGCTTACCTGGATTTTTCTCATCCCTAGTCTCCTATAGAAATCATCCATCTAGGCTGTGCGCAGTGGCTCACACCTGTAATTCCAGCACTTTGGGAGGCCGAGGCGGGTGGATCACGAGGTCAGGAGATCGAGACCACCCTGGTTAACATGGTGAAACCCTGTCTCTACTAAAAATACAAAAAATTAGCCAGGCGTGGTGTCGGGCACCTGTAGTCCCAGCTACTCGGGAGGCTAAGGCAGGAGAATGGTGTGAACCCAGGAGGTGGAGCTTGCAGTGAGCTGAGATCGCGCCACTGCACTCCAGCCTGGGCGACAGAGCGAGACTCCATCTCAAAAAAAAGAAAAGAAAAGAAATCGTCCATCTAGGCCAGGCAAGGTGGCTCACACCTGTAATCCCAGCCCTTTGGGAGGCTGAGGCAGATGGATCACGAGGTCAGGAGTTCGAGACCAGCCTGACCAACATGGTGAAACCCCGTTTCTACTAAAAGTACAGGAAGAATCACTTGAACCCAGGAGGGGAGGTTGCGGTGAGCCTAGCTTGCGCCACTGCACTCCAGCCTGGGTGATAGAGCAAGACTCCATCTCAAAAAAAAAAAAAAAAAGTTAGAAATCATCCATCTATATAGTTCCATTTAAAATTTTAAAATTTAATTATATGCAGTTTGCTTCATTCATGTTAGTCTTATCAAAAGATCTTTTGGAATAAGTACCAATTCTTATATTAAAATAATAATTAGTATTTAGCTAGAGCTTTGTAGCTCACAAAGTACTTTTTTCACACAGTATTATCTCCTTTAGTCCTCTCAGCAACCCCACGGGGTAGGTACAGGATGCATCTGCTCTAGTTCCAGATGTACTTCTGCTAGTTCTTGAGCCTCAGAGCCAAGGCTCTTCCTTCACGGTGCTGCCCTGTGCCATGTGGGGATTGATTACCACTGATACACTTGCCAATGGACAAAAGAATTGATACATACATTCAGCAGCACTTCACATGTTTTTAACTATTTGTTTTTTGAAATTAATATCCCAGCACTTCCCTAATCTACATTTTTCTATCTTTCATTTAATCTTAATCCTCTATTTCCCCTTTATACCTGTCGCAACAAATTAGGTGCAAAATTAGAAATCTGGGTTCCTTTCATTCTGCCTTTAGATCATAAACTCATTGCACAGTTAACATTTTAGAACGATTAAGGCCATTGCCACATTATCTACTGTCAAAGAAGATTTAGGGTTTGGTCACGGAGGCTACCTGAGACTATCCCCTTTTATTATACCACTGGGGAAAAGTAAAGATACTGGTGCTTGTTCTACCTGAAAGACAAGCTAATATGAATCAGGTTGATTGGAACTTATTCCCAGGTGATTATATTTTCTCCTTTTAAAAGAACTTGGGTCACAGAAGTTCCAAAGGAACCCAAAGGAGGTTCTTGTAAAAGAGCGAAGACCCGTGTCTGTTGGCCTCTACTCAGAATCAATGCCCAACAATGATCCTGAATTTAAGGGGCCCTCCACTTGGGCTAAGTGAACACTAACATTTTCATTCTGCCAGTGGATTTTGTTGCTTTGGGTAACAACTTTGCATTTCAAAATTCTTTCCCCTCGGTGTCACCAAGTACATTCTCTTACAAAAATTGGTGATCTAATTGCACTTTTTATAACATGAACTTATATGCATATTGTAACATGCAGTTACCATACTTGGTCTAGGGACAAGTTAGGGGCAGCCTGAGAGAACAAAAGTTATATAAGAATTAAGGTATTTTTAAATGAAATCCTGAAACTATTCCATATGATACTACAGATACATATCATTGTACATTTGTCAAAACTCATAGATTGTACAAGACCCAAAGTGAACCCTAGTCTAAACATGGACTTTGGGTGATTATGGTGCATCAATGTAGGTTCATCAATTATAAGAAATGTACCACTCTAATGGATGATGTTAATGACAGAAGCTATGCATGCGGCGGGGCAGGGATATATAGGATACCTCCCAATTTTGCTATGAACCTAAAACTGCTCTAAAAAAGTCTTTTTAAAGAAGTCTATTTTAAAAAATAGTTCAATTTCTGCTAACATACACAAATACATGCACATGTTCAATACTATTCTATTTTTTGTTTGATAAGAGTCAGAAATATTCATGTACCTTGATTGCAAATTGTTTTTACTTTCACATCATGACATTTCAGTGAAAAAGAAACAATGATTCCTCGACACATACTCTCTCCCAAGACTAAACCAGGAAGAAGTTGAATCTCTGAATAGACCAATAACAGGCTCTGAAATTGTGGCAATAATCAATAGTTTACCAACCAAAAAGAGTCCAGGACCAGATGGATTCACAGCCGAATTCTACCAGAGGTACAAGGAGGAGCTGGTACCATTCCTTCTGAAACTATTCCAATCAATAGAAAAAGAGGGAATCCTCCCTAACTCATTCTATGAGGCCAGCATCATTCTGATACCAAAGCCGGGCAGAGACACAACCAAAAAAGAGAATTTTAGACCAATATCCTTGATGAACATTGATGCAAAAATCCTCAATAAAATACTGGCAAACCGAATCCAGCAGCACATCAAAAAGCTTATCCACCATGATCAAGTGGGCTTCATCCCTGGGATGCAAGGCTGGTTCAATATACGCAAATCAATAAATGTAATCCAGCATATAAACAGAGCCAAAGACAAAAACCACATGATTATCTCAATAGATGCAGAAAAAGCCTTTGACAAAATTCAACAACCCTTCATGCTAAAAACTCTCGATAAATTAGGTATTGATGGGACGTATTTCAAAATAATAAGAGCTATCTATGACAAACCCACAGCCAATATCATACTGAATGGGCAAAAACTGGAAGCATTCCCTTTGAAAACTGGCACAAGACAGGGATGCCCTCTCTCACCGCTCCTATTCAACATAGTGTTGGAAGTTCTGGCCAGGGCAATTAGGCAGGAGAAGGAAATAAAGGGTATTCAATTAGGAAAAGAGGAAGTCAAATTGTCCCTGTTTGCAGACGACATGATTGTTTATCTAGAAAACCCCATTGTCTCAGCCCAAAATCTCCTTAAGCTGATAAGCAACTTCAGCAAAGTCTCAGGATACAAAATCAATGTGCAAAAATCACAAGCATTCTTATACACCAACAACAGACAAACAGAGAGCCAAATCATGAGTGAACTCCCATTCACAATTGCTTCAAAGAGAATAAAATACCTAGGAATCCAACTTACAAGGGATGTGAAGGACCTCTTCAAGGAGAACTACAAACCACTGCTCAAGGAAATAAAAGAGGACACAAACAAATGGAAGAACATTCCATGCTCATGGGTAGGAAGAATCAATATCGTGAAAATGGCCGTACTGCCCAAGGTAATTTACAGATTCGATGCCATCCCCATCAAGCTACCAATGACTTTCTTCACAGAATTGGAAAAAACTACTTTAAAGTTCATATGGAACCAAAAAAGAGCCCGCATCGCCAAGTCAATCCTAAGCCAAAAGAACAAAGCTGGAGGCATCACACTACCTGACTTCAAACTATACTACAAGGCTACAGTAACCAAAACAGCATGGTACTGGTACCAAAACAGAGATATAGATCAATGGAACAGAACAGAGCCCTCAGAAATAATGCCGCATATCTACAACTATCTGATCTTTGACAAACCTGAGAAAAACAAGCAATGGGGAAAGGATTCCCTATTTAATAAATGGTGCTGGGAAAACTGGCTAGCCATATGTAGAAAGCTGAAACTGGATCCCTTCCGTACACCTTATACAAAAATCAATTCAAGATGGATTAAAGATTTAAACGTTAGACCTAAAACCATAAAAACCCTAGAAGAAAACCTAGGCATTACCATTCAGGACATAGGCGTGGGCAAGGACTTCATGTCCAAAACACCAAAAGTAATGGCAACAAAAGCCAAAATTGACAAATGGGATCTAATTAAACTCAAGAGCTTCTGCACAGCAAAAGAAACTACCATCAGAGTGAACAGGCAACCTACAACATGGGAGAAAATTTTCGCAACCTACTCATCTGACAAAGGGCTAATATCCAGAATCTACAATGAACTCAAACAAATTTACAAGAAAAAAACAAACAACCCCATCAAAAAGTGGGCGAAGGACATGAACAGACACTTCTCAAAAGAAGACATTTATGCAGCCAAAAAACACATGAAGAAATGCTCATCATCACTGGCCATCAGAGAAATGCAAATCAAAACCACTATGAGATATCATCTCACACCAGTTAGAATGGCAATCATTAAAAAGTCAGGAAACAACAGGTGCTGGAGAGGATGTGGAGAAATAGGAACACTTTTACACTGTTGGTGGGACTGTAAACTAGTTCAACCATTGTGGAAGTCAGTGTGGCGATTCCTCAGGGATCTAGAACTAGAAATACCATTTGACCCAGCCATCCCATTACTGGGTATATACCCAAAGGACTATAAATCATGCTGCTATAAAGACACATGCACACGTATGTTTATTGCGGCACTATTCACAATAGCAAAGACTTGGAACCAACCCAAATGTCCAACAATGATAGGCTGGATTAAGAAAATGTGGCACATATACACCATGGAATATTATGCAGCCATAAAAAATGATGAGTTCATGTCCTTTGTAGGGACATGGATGAAATTGGAAACCATCATTCTCAGTAAACTATCGCAAGAACAAAAAACCAAACACCGCATATTCTCACTCATAGGTGGGAATTGAACAATGAGATCACATGGACACAGGAAGGGGAATATCACACTCTGGGGACTGTGGTGGGGTCGGGGGAGGGGGGAGGGATAGCATTGGGAGATATACCTAATGCTAGATGACACGTTAGTGGGTGCGGCGCACCAGCATGGCACATGTATACATATGTAACTAACCTGCACAATGTGCACATGTACCCTAAAACTTAGAGTATAATAAAAAAAAAAAAAAATTAAAAAAAAAAAAAAGAAAAAGAAACAATGAAAAATGGATTCCAGTAAAGAGGCCAAGAAACCCACTGAAAGAATTAAGTCTGATTCCCAATAACTGTGGAAAAACCTCAACAGAAATTCAGCCAGCTTATGGTCAATTTTAAACTTAAATTCATCTTCAAGATTTACTAGCTAGAAGAGATGAGTTGTAGGAATCGATGCTTGCACAGCCTTTTCCAATCTTCATTCATAACCATCCCTTAGGAAAGAATGCTTTCTTTTACTTTCTGCCTTTTATCCACAACCTGTCAACAACCTCTTCCATGCAACTGGCAAGTGAAAACCCTCTGTCAATAAACAGCTCATGCACTTGTCTATAGCATTCGGGAGCTTCTTTCTCAGATTCCCCACATGAATAAAGGACAGGGCTCTTTCTTGGGCAGTTCCAACAAAGTAGCTTCAGCCACTTTATTAGAAACTAGCTAGACAAGGCTGGGTGCGGCGGCTCATGCCTGTAATCCCAGCATTTTGGGAGGCCGAGGCAGGCAGCTCACGAGGTCAAGAGATCGAGACCATCCTGGCCAACATGGTAAAACCCCGTCTCTACTAAAAATACAAAAAAATTAGCTGGGCTTGGTGGCACGAGCCTGTAGTGTCAGCTACTCAGGAGGCTGAGGCAGGAGAATCGCTTGAACCTGGGAGGCAGAGGTTGCAGTGAGCTGAGATCGTGCCACTGCACTCCAGCCTGGTGACAGAGTGAGACTCTGTCTAAAAAAAAAAAGAAAGAAAGAAAGAAAGAAAGAAAGAAACTAGCTAGACAATTATCTAGACAGAGCTGTTTCTCTGCTGCTGTGTCTACTCTTCCCTCAGCACCGGTTTTCTGAAGCTCCCAATGGTCTAATTTTTCAAGTCATTTGTCTGCTTCCAACTGTCCTTGGTAGAAGGTTCTAGTGATAAATATATTATGACTGAACCAAGCTTTCCCTAGTTTATTAATTCATATGAATTAATTAATTTTTCAAACATGTGCTTCCTGAGGCCCATAACAACTTCTTTCAACTCCAGATTGTCAAGCACTCACATGTGTGTTATCTTTGGAATTGCAACCAGTAAGAGGGAAAGTAGAATGGCCAGAAAGCAGAGAAGGAAACCTGTTATTCTTAGAAAAATGTGAGAAGCCATCTCTTATCTCAAATCAACAAAGACTGTGAAAGGAAAGAGAAAAAGAAAAATGAATATTGTATATAGGCATAATCCATCACCGTAAGTCCATGTCACAAGAAGGTCCAAGCTTGCTTCTGTTTTCTAATAACATTTCTTTGCCCATCAAATAAGAATTAAGATTCTTATCTTGTTATGGAGGCAACAAGCCTTGCTTTAGGATGGAATATCATTTAGAATTTGTACTCAGAAATCGTCTTGACATTTTTCTCTTGTCTACCTGAAGAGAGAAAGCCCAGGGGAAAAAGAAGTATTCAGAGAGCAAAGACGTACTGAATTCCTTTTATAGGAAATTTGTAACTCTCTTTTCATCACTGGTTTTTCATTTTAGGAAGAGCTGGAGATAAAAATTGTGAGGTTAATCAGAATACAGGTCTCATGTAATGCATTTCATATATCTTCTAATGATTCCTAGTAGATCCTAATAGGTTAGGGAAAGTGGTCCATTAGCTGCTGTGTCTTCCGTCTACCAAATCCTTTCCCACAGTCCTTGGTAAATTCCCCAAATCTGCCTTTTTTTTTTTCTTTCTTTCTTTTTTGTGAGACAGAGCCTTGCTCTATCACCCAGGCAGGAGTGCAGTGGCACAATCATGGCTCACTGCAGCCTCGACCTCTCGAGCTCAAGCGTATTCCTCCTACCTCAGCATCCCGAGTAGCTGGGACTATAGGCACATGCCACCACACCCAGCTAATTTTTGCATTTTTATTTGTTTGTTTGTTTTTGGTTTTTGTTTGGTTTGGTTTTTTGAGACGGAGTCTCGCACCGTCACCCAGGCTGGAGTGCAGTGGCGCGATCTCGGCTCACTGCAACCTCCACCTCTCGGGTTCAAGCGTTTCTCCTGCCTCAGCCTCCTGAGCACCTGGGACTACATACACGTGCCACCACGCCAAGCTGATTTTTGTGGTTTTAGTAGGATGGGGTTTCACCATATTCGCCAGGCTGGTCTTGAACTCCTGACCTCATGATCCACCCACCTTGGCCTCCCAAAGTGCTGGGATTACAGGCATGAGCCACCGCGCCCGGCCAGTTTTTGTATTTTTAGTAAGGCAGGGTTTCACCATGTTGCCCAGGCTCAAACTCCTGGCTCAAGCAACTGTCCACCTCGGCCTCCCAAAGTCCAGGTATTATAGGCGTAAGCTATCACAGCCAGCCTCTGGCTTTTTTCTAGCCACAATCAACTTTTATCCAATTAACTAAGTCTCCAAAACTTCCCATGCTCCCAAGAGGAAGTGAGTAGAGATATAGATGAAAGAAGATTGGCTATAAGTTAATAATTTTTGAATCTGAGGGGTGAGGGTTTATTATACTCTTCATTAGCTGTAGATATATTTTATGTATATTTGAAATTTTCCTCAATAAATATTTTACAATAAAAAGTCTAACTATCAATGAAGTCAGTCAAGTGCAGTGTTTTAAATAATAAATTCTGAGAAAAAAAAATCTTCAAAAAAATACTATAGCATCAATGCTATTCTAAATTCTGTCCTCAGGCAATATAAGCCCTTTCTTGCCCCTTACTGCAGGTAATTCCGATGACACACTTTCCTCACCTCCTCTCTGCCCTTCTCTTGCACTTATAAAACATAATCAGTCGTTTTGACTGGAGTGTGGTGGACTCTTGGTTCTATGATTCTCAATAGTATATACATCTCCTCTTCCGGCTAGGAAAGGCAACCCCTAAAGGAATGGCTTTGCCAACTGACGAATTAGTTGGGGAGATCATTTGTGGGCAAATCCTCTGTAACTCCAATGTAGTAGATGCTGTTGGTGCCCTCCTCCGATCCCCTTCACCAGCTAGGACACCAGCCTCTCGCTACAGAGAAGGTTGGCCAGGGCCATGCTGGTAAACGTTTAACATCTGGCTGCCTGTGGAGTGTAAGGCCTGGGATTTGTAGCTTTTGTTGATTTTCATGATGTAATGCTTCTGTCCTGGCCGATTGCAAGCTGTCAGGGTGAAGTCACAGAAAGGGCATTTGGGAAGTGATGTGCACACAGCACTCGTGAGCTGTGGTGAGCTGACTCTAGCACACCATGACTACATACAGCTTATAGCTGTTCCTTTCTCTGGGGAATTGCCTCCTGACTGAAGACTGTCGCCTTTCAGGCTTCACCTATGGTTACCTGTAAATAATGACCAACTGATATGGGTGTACAAAATTCCAGTCCCCTTGCCTCAAGGTGAGTCAATTCTGTGGTGTGAATCATTCATCAGAACCCACCCACACGCACACAATGAATCAGATCACAGTCCTTGAGAAGACATCATTGTACAGCTCTTTGCCCTTTCCTCTCCTGCATCTCTCTCTTATTAGTAGGTTTTTCCCCCTAAAGAATATGCCATGCCCTCAGGGAATTGCATGCAGCTAAATGCTTGCCTCAGGCTCTGCTTCAAGGGAACCCAGCCTGAGACACATTCAAAACGTACCCCAAGGGGTAAGCTTTCCTAAAATTTCCCTCCAATACACTCCAAATAATACAAAGAGATAATTCTAATCTTAGGAGATACAAAAGTACAGCCCAAAGCATCCAACTACAGATCCCACATTTTTAAAGTCTTCTTTCACAGTAAAAATGCACGCAAAATTTTAACCTATGTTCCATAATATCTCTATTTAACACTAAAAATGTCATATTTTTCTCCAGAATTCTTGTGTAGAGTCAATGTTCCAAGATGCTAGACTATATACGTCCCATGGCTGTTCCAACGAAGAAGGTAAGCATGCCCCAGTCAGAAAAGCCTGAATAAACCTGAAAGCCACTCAAAGCCTGAGTGCTCAACTTTCAACTCGACAATGAGCAGTGTGTGTTGCCAATCCTCAGAGACTGTCTCTTCAGCACTAGAAGGTCAGAGCAGACCTACTCCAAACACAGTATTAGTATATCCCAGTTTCTCCTTTAATCAGGAAGGAAGGAAGGGAGGGAGAGTAAAAAAAGAAAGGAATTCAACCACTGAGAGTTAGACTTCAAAATGATCTTCATGTATTCTTTCGTATCTTCCTTTTATAGATGAGAAAACTAAGATTTGGAGCACAAAGTAATTTGCTGAAGGTCAAAAAGCAGTTAATGCTGGAACCAAGAGCCCCACATCTCTGGATTTTCAGGCAGGTTTCTCTGCTTGCCCATGTTGCCTGCCCAGCTTCTGAGGACAACGTTGACTGTCCTGTGAATTGGGATCACTCAGTCAAATGCCTCTGCTGATACCCCAAGGTTGAATGGCAGTTTGTTTAGCATGGCAGCTTTCAGACTCCAAGTGTTTCTGAGTGTGTGTTAGAAACCACCATTTCATCCAAAACTGGCCGAAGTGGAGAATTGTTTTGTACTTCCCAGCTGTATTTCCTTGAAAATAGATGGTCTGAGAATGCCCTCTGGTGCCTTCCTACTGTGTCTTCAAGCACTTTAGAGGCAGGAGGTGGCTGTGGGAAAGGATGAAGAAAAGCTAGGCTCCTGGAAATGGTTTTTTCTCTCAAAAAATGTGGCGTGGGCATACTGTCAGCAAACCGTGGCAGGATTCGACCAGGAAGTTGGATAAAAACATAATGTGTGGTTATGCCGCCTCTGTTGCATTTGCCTTTTTTTCTCTAACAATGAATATAATTCTTTTTAATTGCACAATTATTTAAATACTTATTCAAGTCATATTATATTAATACAAGGCATAGAAACAATAACAAATTGGTAGGCATAAAAATCTCTGACACAATTTGAATTTAGGCATATCCTTTTCTGGTTTTCTGCATAATATGATTACCATTTCCCAAGAACATGAGCAAAAGCACACTCCCTGGGTCCTCAGAATGGAGCGCACCTTCTCAAGTACACTGCCACTTTATTTTTAGTGACATGTATTTGAGAAAAAGAAGATTGACACTTCTTCCCCAAGATGCACGCCTCAAGAAGTTGAAAGGAGCACTGAGTAGAACAAAGGGGGGGAAAGCAATCAAAGGCTCTCTAGGGCTATGACCTAGATGCATTTGTCCCTTTTAATCCCTACATTGAACAGAAATATGAAATATAAGATTTGGGAAGGAGAGTATCTAGTTTAGCCCTCCCTCACATCAGGACTGGTCATAGCAATACCTGTCATTTATTGAATATTAACTCAATGCCAGGTAATATAAGCATTTCACATGAATTATTTCATTTAAATCCTCACAGCCACCTCAGGAGAAAGGTGCTATTATTTTCTGCATTGTGTAGATTAGAAACTTGAGTCATGGAAATATTAAATGCATTGCCCAAGGTCACTCAGCCACTAGCAAAGCCAGAACTCAAGCATCAATCTGCTCGGCTCCCAAGCCCATGCTTTTAGCCCTCCGGATATATGACGTCCACAACTTTCCTAAACAGCCTTCCTGTTCCCTCTCCTTAAATTCATCCAAACAATGAGCAAATCATTCTATTATCTAACAGCTCTCATTGCTTAAATCACCCCTGTTAGCCCCTATTTGGTACCGGAGGGATGCAGCAGTTTGCTCCCTGTTCTACTTGACCTTCCTTTAAATATTTGAAACCAGATATCAGCTCACTAATCCACTTTCCCAGCTTGCTCTTGTCTAGCTAAACTGTCCCAAGGTCCTTCAACGGTTCCTTGTTTAAGTCGCTTTTCAGGCCTTTCACTACCCGGGTTCACTCCAGCTGTGTAGCAACTCTCCCCACAAAATGGAAATGCGATAGCTAGTACTGAAAAACTCCCTAAATGTAGTCTGACTATAGCAGGGCATAGTGGGACTACAGCCTCCTTATTACCAAAATCATTTCTAATTAAAAGGCATCCTTAATCCTTACAGCAGTTGCTTCACACTGGTCATTCATGTGGTGCCCACAGCCAACAAAAACCCTCAGCCTTTCTCCCACAGAAAGTAAGATCTTCCCCCCAGCACAAATGCACACTAAAGTTCTGGACTAAAATGAAGGATTTATTTACTTTAAACTTCATATTCTTATTTGATATGGTTTCTTAATTTTTCCTCACGATTGAGATCATCCAAACCTCAGGTCAAGATGGCCAAAAAGGTGAGGTCCACAGACAGCCCTGCAGCCTCCCTCCCAAGTGGCACCACCTGGAATTCAGTGCCCTTCACATATCCCTGTCCAACTGGCCACGAAGCCTCCTAGTTTCACTGTCACTCTGCTCGTGTACCTTCATCTTTCCCACAAGGACGTCATAAGAGACTCTATCAAACGTCTTCCTGAAATCCAGACACATTTTGTCTGTGGAATTTCCCCTCCCCAGCAGTCTCCCCACTCTATCAAAAAAGGAAGCAAAGTTCGTTGGGCATATCTTGTTTTTAAGCAAACCCACATTTCGTGAATCCATATTTATACATACCACCAGGCTCAAGGGGATGTTTATTTCAGAAAATGAAAGCTTTTCCAAGAAACCTAATTTTAAATAGAATAGAGAAATAACATTTTAGCTACATTTTTTCACTTGTAAAAGCACTTGAAAAAACATATATTTTCAGGTCCATCAATACCACCATGGGACTCAGCATTTATGATAGTATTTAAGTGATAGATGTCACTTAAATACTACATTTCCAAAATATAATTAAACTTTGACCACAACTGCATTAATCAGGATTGGAACTTTACCTGCATCATACTTTAACCAGAGAAGTAAATCTCACCAAGGCAATTTGATATCTGGATTGAGTTCTGTATTCAGAATACATTAAATTCCACCTTCTAAAACTTTCTGGACAATGACCAGAATGTCTGCCATTCTGGACAATGAGCTGCCATTGAAAGTCTTCGATATCATAGACAAAGATCCCATTGTGTAAGCATACTATACATAAATAAAACCAAAAAAAAAAAAGATGAGGACATTTTTTAAAGATATTATTTATCGAAAGTAGTGTACCATATATTTAGAATATGTCAGGATGTTCTGAGAGTTTAACAAATGTGAACTCACTTAATCCCTGAAACAACCCTTAGCGATAGTCACTTTTATTTTCTTCATTTTTAACAGAAGGGAAAATGAAGGCACAGACAGGTTAAATGACTTGCTCAAAGACACACAGCTAGAAGTGGCATGGAGCCTCAACAGTGAAAATTAAAAGTGTTATGGTAAAACGTGAACAAAAAAATTCATAGAGACTTTCCATGCTGTCGCTGGGCATTCTCAAAAATGTCTGAAATACTTTTACATTTCTCCTCACTTCAATTGGCAGTGTTATGTGTTTCTTCATGAAAGAATAAGTTTAAAAGGTAAGAGAATAAGATAAATACATTCTGCAATGTTAAAGGTCACACATGGCTGGCTTGAGTTTACCATTCTTGGGTCCTCGAGTTCAACTCACTGACTTCAATTCCTGATCCATGTGGTAGCTCCAATGTCTACTATTCTGCTGGGCTGGCCCTTGGTAGGTACTAAATAAATCTTTATTGAATTCAACTAAATTAATTTGTTACTGAGGCATTTCAGGCTGTGCCATATAAAGATATTAATAATAGCCCTAACATTTACCTCAAAATACTTTCCAAGTCTTGTTAGCTTACCCACTCATCTACAAAAGATTTACACTCACATTTCTATGAGTAGGATTTAGGAACTTAGCTCCATGAATTAGATTATACTTTTAAGAATTGTAAGAGTTAACAGTCACAAACCCCAATAGACTATTCTAACATGGCCATATTTTACACAAATTCGAAATAGTGTAACATGAAAAATTCATATAGTCTCTTCACACTCAAAATGTGAAGTAATGTAAGTGCCTCAAATTTAAATTCTTTCTGAGGATCAAAGAATTTTAAGGCTGGCAGGCCAAATGAACAGTAAAACTGAGTTCAGGATATGGCCTGAATTATGCAAGTTTGGAATTAAGCAGTCTTTAAGGCCACATCCTTTTCATAAATGCCACCAACCACAACACATCACCAAGGGACAACACAAAGGAAGCACTGCTGTGTAACAACTTGGTGGCTGAAGTCTTGGAGGCCAAACAGGCTCAGAAGCTTCAAGGCAAAGCAGCCGTCCTCAGCCTCTCAAAAATCTATGCGATCACAGAGACAAATGCTGAGACACCCAACAGGAAGATGAAAATTAAACTGAAGAGACCCATGACCAAATTGCACCCAAGCATCCAAATGTTGGTGGTGCTAGCCCTGAAACAGCGGGCTCCCAGGACTCAGAGAACAAGTTATCCATCTCCGCTCTCAAACTCTCTAGCCCTTATAGAACCATAGGCTCTCAGACTTCACCTGGATGAGAAACCACAGCTCTCCCAAAGCCTCATCATTTCAGGGTGAGAGATGCTGACAGATAAACAAATTATCAAATGACAAAGTGAGTTTAGCCTTTGTGCACTGGAAGTAATGGCTGGAAATGTTCATTACCAATTCCACAAAGACAGGCAAACATTCACACTGAGAGAGAGAGACAGAGAGAGAGATAGAGAAAGAGTGAGACAGAGAGAGAATGAGTAAGTCTATGGTTTCCCTTTCTCCACTGTATGCCCAGTGAAATTGTCCCTGGTATTTAAGAAAGCCAGGACAGAATGAAAACCTAAGAAAAAAAAAGGAATTGAGGTAAAGACCGGCGTGACAATGAAAGTAATGAAGGTGGAAGTCTTTTACAAGCACTTGTGAATCTGAAGCAAGAAGTAGCTTCTTTTCTTGGGTTTTATCCTTCTAGTGGCCGTCCTAATAGGGAAAAGCTAAAGCCAGTCACTTTTGGTGCCTGTATCAACCTTGTAAGACACACTAAATTCTCTCTGTAATGCATAACTGTCAGCCTCTCTCACTCATCTGGAGTGATTTTTCCAATTAAGCGTGACAGGCATTTCACTCAAGCCCCCTATTCTAACTCGGAGGCTGGGTCCTGAAGAATGAGACTTCAGTGGCTGCTGACACTTCTTTTGTCACACAATCCTCTCTAGACAAACAATATTGACTACAAATTTGTCAGGACTTTCTATGGCCATCAATCATGCCTGCCCTTTTGCCTACTTGTGCACTCCTGTATTTCCCCTCACTCCCATGCTTAAAACAAGACAAAATTAAACTCAAAAGTGCAACCCTCAAAGTTAGAATCAGCATAAATCCTGGAGTACCTGCAATTTGAATATTCATTTGGCACAACTAATGTACTCCTTACTCTAGAAATTAAAAGCTTTAAAATGATGTACTGCCTCAGAGAAATGGGCGCCAGAGTTTCATGTCAGAATGCTTTGGTGTTTGTTGTTTTTTGTGTTTGTGTGTGTGTGTATATGTGTGTGTTTTCATTCTTACATGAGTTCTCAGAAAGTACAGGCAGACAAAGGTCCAACTCGCAGGTCTCAAACTGCAATGCCTTCAAGGCTCATAGAGCAGAGATGGGGGCAGAGTTAAAAGCATTTGTTGCTGTAGAAATCGTTATTTATTATTAAGAAATAGGGGTGTAGAATGTCTTTTTCTTTTGGCAGAAGCCGAGGCCCTGAATCCTGCCTGTATGAATGACATGTAAGCTGTGGGCCTGTGATTCTTTTTTCTGTTCGTTTTTCTTCAGTTTGGCTTCATCTCAAGAAAAAAAAAAAAAAAAGTACACATCTTCCCCTACGAGAGAAAGGATGACTTACAGTACTGAGTGTGTGTGTGTGTGTGTATGTGTGTGTGTGTGTTGCCCTGAAGTAATGCCAGCATCCAGAACTGCAACCTTACCTTTTCAATCCTTAAGAACCAGAGACATAGTTGCTCCTGCTCAGCAAAGGCTACAGCCAGTTCCAAGAGCTCCATTAGGACTTGCATTAGGACCAGGCCACCACCACAGTGAGCTCCAAGGTGGGCTGGTCCACGTCTTGTGATCAAAATGACTGATACTAGCACCAGAGTGTCCATCATTATAGTTTCTTCTTTTGCTTCTTCAATGAGAAGGAATGGGGATTTTCAATTAAAGTTTTAAAATATCTTCTTTCTTCAAGGTCTTATCAGCCAACTTGTAAATTGTCTTTCAGCTCAGAGGACAGAAATTCATGGAAATAGGATGTAGGCATCCCTTTTATTTGTCTCCTCCTGCACCTCTGCCACTTGCAGGCACAAACTGTCCTCAAATGATGAAATATCAGCTATTTCCCAGCATCTTTGGGAGGTGCATATACTATTGCAATGCTGTGTTTGCAAGTTCATTATAATAAAAGTGAAATTCAAAATGAGTACATGTAAAGCAGAAATTCAGAGCCCCTCTAGTTAACACAGTCATTAATTTACCTTTCTTCTTTTTCTTGATTTATGAAACTGCTAGTTGCAAACTGATGTCAATTCAGAGCAGGAGCCAGGGTGGACAATGGATCTCAGCATCTGACTCTTTTGGAGCAGCTGTCTGAACCACAAGGAAAAATAATCAGGCCTGAAGCCAGTGGGAGAATCATCATAACAGACAATACAACCCATTTGTTTAATGAAGAAAGAGTTAGGCAACCTACTAGAAACCACAGGCCTGATCTACATTTTTCAAACTTACGACCATGTCTAGAAAAGTTGCTTAACTCTTCTGTGCTCCATTCTTCCAATGCTCAGAGCTCCATGAGACTCACCTGGAGCTCCCATGTGACTCGATGCCTGCTCCACCTCTCCACACCTGCACAACTATCAAAATAACCAGCAAGGAAAGCTTTATTTAAAAAATGAAGATTCCTTGCCTTCACCCCAGGTCACATCCAGGCCTATGAAATGGGAAATCTGCCTGATGGGGCATTTTAACCAGGAGAATCTAAATGAGCAACCGAATTTAGAAATCACTAGGCGGGAACAGAAAGAGCAAACGCACAATCCAAGAACCACTTCTCCTACCCCTTTGTCCATGACAGACATTAATAATCAACATGAGCACTCTTTCCCTCAGAACGCAGCCAAAGCTCAGGAGGTCCAGGCAGCCACTCCCAGTCAATGAGAGTGGCTGGCTCACAAATTGAAACCTTTCTGCCATCCCTGAGTGAGAACCCAGCAGTCCACCAGTACTGTGTGTTCAGTCGCACATTTCACCCAGCATCTAGAACAGCTCAACGTATAATCCTTTTAGGTTTACAAAATCTTTTCAAACACCTGATCTTCTTTGAGCATCCCAGAAACCTTGTGAAGTTAAAAGGGTATGTATTATTATACCCACTTGACAGATTAAGAAACTGGGGGTCACATTAGTTCTTAATCTTGCCCAGGGTCAGATCGCTGATGAAGAGTAAGGACAGAAAATCCACCCAGATCTCCTGTCTCCTAGACCAGCATTCTTCCTTCTGTAACAAGCTGGGCATGGAGTATTGAGGGCAACATTACCACCTGAGCTTAGCAAAAAACAGACCATACAGCAAACAGTACAGAAGGGGAAGGTGGGCCAAAGAGGTTTAGTAAATTGACCAAGGTCACAAAGCCTTAAAACCAGCAAGCAAGAACCCCAAGCAGGTCTGTCTGATGAATCTCTGTTCTGTGCTCTTCCTGTTTAGATGGTGTGTCCTCCCAGATCAGCACAGACTAGGAAAGGGCCTTTCCTCTCCTCTCCCTGAGTTCACTCTGACACACCCTGCTCGTCTGGCCCTCCTCCCAGACTATTTCCCTTGTTTCCGCTGGTGTCATCCTCTCAGCCACACTCACCTCTCCACCACCCACCCCCCTTTTTGACCCTGCAACTTCCTTCCAAATGCAGGAGGAAACCGCCCAGCTTACTCACAAGGGCCCCAGCCAACAGACTGCAGATAAGACAAGCACCTTGGCAGCGAGACGTGAATATAAAATTGCAAACAGCTTTTGAAGTTACAGATCCGTAATCTTCTAAGCCAAAGAAGAGGGGTTCGCCTCTTCCCCCCGTCATCTGAATCAACACTCCAAAGGACTGAACTGAGTCCAGCCAGCTTCGGATGTGATCTCACAAGCCCGCCTGCCACACATGCATTTCCAGCCTGTCGCCTGAGCAAAACCCCCACGAGGCTTGTCACCACTTAACACAGGGGACATGTTTCTACAGAAATCAAAGCAAAGAGATGTGTTTTGCTGCCCTTTCATGTGGTCAAATACATCCTGACTGACCCGGTTATGCCCTTAGTTGAAGAAACTAAACACTTTCAAGTTTAGAAGGGAAGATGCTCAGGGTTTCTGGAAGACGGGCTGACTCACCTCTACTGCATAGTTGCCTGTAACCTTGGCCAAGTTACTTAATCTTTTTCATCTCAATTTTTCCATCTGTAAAATGGGACTCTACCAATGGCACTTTCCTTTAAGATTCTTGTAATTATTAAAATAGTTGGTTCACATAAAAAATGTAGGGCAATGATACACAGTCAACCATAAATATTTACCATCACTGTCATTTTAAAACAGAAACAAAAGATTTGAGGACGTATCCACATGACCTTTGGAATTTAGATGCATCCCAACAGGTCCCTGTTGTATTTTAGGTTCACAGTAAACAGGTTTTGATGATCAAACCTAAAACTCTGATGTTTCTGTCATTATTATTTTCAATGGAATGATTTGCATAGAATTAACAAAGAATTAACAAAAATTACCAAAATTTCTTTTAGAATTAAGTCAGCATGAGATAACACTGCTTGCTGAGATTATACATACTTCCTTTAAGCTTCTATATAGGATACATTTCTCCAAATTTTCTACAAAAAAGCATGCATTATTTTATCATTGGAAAAATTAAAATAATAGCACATAATAAGATGAAGCACATTATGCCTCGTAATGTATAAACATGGATATCTACAGGAAATGGCAATCAAAGCATAAATGAGTCCACTAAGGTTGCATCATGGCTTTCCCTACTGGCCCAATCGGACATTTTTTTTGGAAAGTTTTAGAGACCTAAGTCTCCACATCCAAATGGAAATGAGCCCCAGATATTACTCATATATTATTGGCAGTACTTTCTGCCCAGAGAATGGCAAAACAAAGAAATTTTTTTGCAAATGGAGGCCACCACCTGGATTTGTGAATGCATGAGCCTCAGCCACACGAGGCCTGTTTAGGGTTGATCTGCCAACTGCACAAAGACACACATACACACACGCACACATGCACAGCCCAAACACTGAGTTTCATTTCCACTGCTTTGTTCCTATGGAGTACTGACAGATATTGGCAGATCCTATTTCACTTTTTTCTCCATGAACTCTGGGTATTTCAGCTTTTTTCTCCCAATTTAAATAGTTAAAAATGTGGCCCAGTAGGGGTACTTTTTCAATGGGTAAAATATTAATTCTTATAAGTCAAAATATGCTAGTGTCCTACAAGCATGCAGAGCAAAGTTTAAAAACTGATGTTAAAAACCCCACTTTGAAGTACATACTCAAAGATCAGGATCTGTAGGGAATCTAATCTGTTCTTAGGCTCTATCAGCTGGGTCATTTGGCATGGGACGAAAGCCCAAGGGACCTCATACGTTGGCTGCTGTTTGGTGGTAAATTCTGAGCTTCTCAGAAGCTGAGACATCTGAGCCAATTCCACATTTGGACACTTCTAATATATTTTTTAAAATGTGTTAAAATACTGCTACAAAAATTATGGTATTTTTCATACATTTATATTTAGCAAATAAATGTTTTTGTCCCAATAATAATTTTAATAACCATATGCACACCATGTTTTGGAGAAAGATTTTAAAGTTCAGCTTTGAGGCCCTTCTTCAATCTGAGGCCCAAGACAAATGGCCCTCTAACCCCACCCCTGTAATGAACCTGAGTAAACTCGAGCAGAAGACAGTATGAGGACCGCATTACTTCAAATGCTGATGTGAACTCAACTCCATCACCCTCCATCCTGGCAACAGTAAAGGAGTGGGAGATCAAAGGCCAGGATGAGGGACTTCAGATCAAGAGCTGCCCAGGACCCATGCAACCCTTGAGCCACATTTTCCAGAACTTGGATAGGCATTTGATGTCCAAAACGAGAAAACATATCCTGAAATAGCTTTCTCTGCTCTTGGAATATCAAGTTGTCAATAGCATTGTTCTGTTCTCCAACTTCCCCCCAACCCCACACCTAGGTTTTGCAATTTTCACCCATAACAAGTTGGTTCTAAGACCTCCAAATTCAAAGCCATCAAAGAAAGATATTGTTCCTCAAAAATTATGATGTATAATACTTGTGTTTCCAAAGCCCCTTTAGGGTGATCAAAAACAGATAATGATAGCAACCTATGTAAATATATGTCAACAGGATGCAAATATGATTCCAGGCTTTGGGCCTTATTGGGCATTCATTTAATGACTACACGGTACCAGGTCCCCTGAAGCATAGAAGCAGAAAAGCAAACCAAAGGCCTCTGGGATTCTAAGTCTTACTAGTAATGAAAGGGAGACGAGGAAAGTGATGCAAGAGCCTTCTGTGAGTGATGTCATGACAACCTCAACATCTCTTCCTCTGTTCAGGGAACATGAAGATGCTAACCTGGCAACTGTCAGTCTTAGCTTCCCACATTCTCCATAATCTGGTCTCACAATGCCTAATACATCTTGCATGTGACAAATGTCCACTGGCCTACATTAGTGCTTTGAAAATAAGTTAAAGCTTGGATTCAGAAAGCCTTTTCATTCTTTTTTAATTCTTGGTGGGTAAGTTTCCTACTTATAGTCTTCATATACGTTCAATTTTTTTTTTTTTTTTTGAGACAGTCTCTCGCTCTGTCACCAGACTGGAGTGCAGTGGCACGATCTCAGCTCACTGCAACCTCCAACTCCCTGGTTCAAGAATCTCTTGAACCAGGCACGCACCACCATGCCCAGCTAATTTTTGTATTTTTAGTAGAGACGGGGTTTCACCATGTTGTCCAGAAGGGTCTCGATCTCTTGACCTCATGATCCACCCGACTCAGCCTCCCAAAGTGCTGGGATTACAGGCGTGAGCCACCGCGCCCGGCCACGTTCAGTTATTTATTAATAGATGGGTCTACAGCAAGCTATATAACAGACATCCAAACATGTCTGTCATGTTGACTTCCCAGTTGTAAGAACATGTTCCCTGTTGTTTCACTTTGTGGTTTGGAGGTTTGAAAAAAAAAAAAGTTTCCAAAAAGAATATCAGAGTAAAGAAAATGCAGAAGGGTAGATAAATGTAATTTAAGAAAGTACAAGCATGATTCTCCAAGGAAAAAGGAGGATCTGGCATCAATTGAAGTCTATGCCCACCTAAAAGTAAAAAGCCAAATGGAGTTGTTCATTATAAATACATGTGTCTTTTTGCATAATGAAGAAATGAAATTTGCTCTCTCCACTCTCTCCATTGAGAGAACTGAATACAAATGCTATTTTGGGTCAGAGATAAAACAAACCCACAGCCCATTGCAGGAAGCCATCCTCAGCAGAAGAGATGGCCTCCTGAGAATACTGGACCCAGGAAGTTGGTGAGCTTTCGCGCCACCTCTCTGCTCAAAAGACAGTTTATTCTCTCCCCCTTGGTAGATACGCACTTCTAAATCTCAGCCACTCACCTAATTTTCTGTCTTGTAAGCAAGGCTTCAAAAGAAGGCTAGGTTACTGAGAGATGTGCACAATCCTTGAAAATTGCAGAAAGAAAGAACATATGCACTTTATAACATTCTCTTCAGTAGGGAATGTTCTGTGTTCCAGTAGTACCAACTTCAGGAGCTCCAGGATATCCACTGTGAAAACACAGGCAACCCTACTGGCCACTGGTCTTCCTTTGACCAGATAAGAGGTCACTCCTTTGGAATGGGTTATACCAGTAGGCTCTAGCCACATTGCCTTACATATACTCTACCCTTCAACCCTGTGGTAAGCACCTTTTAAAAGAGCTAAAAGCAATTAAAAAATATACCAAAGGCATCAAGGTGAATTATCAGACTACTGTCCCCTGATGAAAAATAATAACAACAACAGATGATGGCTTTCAAACAAGCTGAGAAAATGGACTTTATTTTTCTAGAAGTATTTCTTTATTTTTTTCCTAGTCCCAATGCACTTCGTACTTCTCTATTTATCATGCACTTCGTACTTCTCTATTTATCATGCACTTCGTAACTGCCTCAACATATCTGGCCCTTCTATCAACTGACGAACTTCTTGAGAACCCTGCCCTATTCTTCCTATTCATCCTCATATTTATAGAGCCTTCAGTGTAAGAGGAAATTAATAGACTCTCAATAAATGTTTGATGGACAGATAAATGTAGGAAAAATTAATGTACATCAGAGTGCAACAGGAACTAATATCCAAAATCCTTGAGATAAAAATGAAAGACCATCAAAGTAAAAATTTCCGATAGCTAATCATCCAAACATTAAAAGAGGACTTCATTGTTCTCCAGATGTCATCAGTGATTCATTACAAATAATTACATGCGTGTTCTAAATAATGGAATGTTGAAATGTACACTTGTCATCACCGGCACTATCAAACATGTTGGACACGCCCAAAATAGCTACAGTCCATATGACCAGGAAGAGAGTCACATCAAGGACTCCAGAGGTGATAATATCAGTGTCCCAGTAAAGTCTGGAAGTCATCGTCTTGAACAGGAAGCCTTAAGGAAGTTGAGGGCAGTTTGTTCACTTGACCCCAGAGTTGGGTTACACACCCACAGCACTTACTGAGGGGCAGGAAGTTGGAAGAGGACCTGGGGTCAGACCTCTGCAATGGTGTGAAGTAGATGAAGTTTGTCTTCACCTCCTCTTTCATTGCCCTCCTCATCTCCCCACCAACCCTGATCTGTCATCCTTCGTAATCACAATGGCAAAGGCCCAACGGAGTCACTCATACTATCGTATAAATAACTCATTATGATTGTATAAATTAGGCTTCCACAGCATTTGCCTTTTTAGTAGAAGCAGTGCTGTTATTCTGTGTAATAGCAGAATTTCTACCATCAAAATAGCAAGGGACATATTTGAGGGATGATGGTCAGTGCCAGCTTGAAGTTGAGTAGGCAGCTACCCACTGAAGCAGCTATATGCATTTTTTAATTTTTAGAAATTTAAGATTCAGGCCTTGGATCTCTTGTGACTATGTGACTGACTATTCATGTTGGAAAAATAAACATTTCCACCTCCTAGAGTGGCTGATAGCAAGAGGGTATGAGGCTTCAGATGTTGATCCGTGATTCTCTAGAGACCTCTAGTGGTCAGAAGAGGAACTCACATTTGTTATGAACAGAAAGATGAGGGAATGCTGACCGGTGAAAAATGAAGGCCTACAATCTGGTGATTGCCATTAAAGAAACATTTGGAACTTTCAGTAATGGAAGGTTTGAGTCATTTACTTTTCCATCTACTTTTTCTCTCTCTCCTTTCTCTTCTGTATCCATGCTACAATCTCATTTGCCTTAATGCCTTGGAAGGCACTTGTCCTTACTGTCCTTATTATCCATTTTCATTGCTTTATCTGGGTCGTCCACACAAAGAAACCAACTTGCCCTTCACAGGATCCATATTTCCCTCATGCAATCCATGGGCTCCTACATCTTCCTTCACCCTTGGCAGCTCTTGGTCTTGTTACTCATACCTACATGTGCTCCCAGATAAGTACAGGAATAGGCTTATCTTCACCCTTATTCTGCCAGGAGAGTGTTTCTTATTCTGCCATTGAGATGGACTGTCCCAAGGGATTAAATTTTAAGAGGTGGATTACAGTTACTGCTGGTTTGTTGGTTCGCTGTGAAGCTCAGGAAACAGAAACAGCCAAGTTTCCAAGATATATATTTAACAGGAGAAGAGTCAAAAAAAAGATTTAAAATGCCAAACTTTACAGGAAATTCAGAGACAACCCTTCCCAACAAATAAAAATCATCCCCACAGATTTGTGGTAGAAGCAATATAAGTAACTATGTTAGCCTGAAGCCTTTATAGGTAGACTTTTCAGCTGCTCTCTTTTGTTTACCTATCCCAATTTTTATTATACAACTACTAAAATTATATAGATATATACATCATATATTAAGATATATACTCACCAACGTGTAAAAGAAGGGCATTCTTCTAAAATTAGATTGCAGCTCTTCCTGGCTTTGAAGTAATCACACCCCAGTAATAGAAAGAGGTAGAACATATCAACAGGAATGGGGTGTGGGCTGCCAGTTCATCATCTGTCAATCTTACCTGAGATCCTGCTTTGCCTTAAGATTCAATTCCAAGACCATGAATAGATGTTTATGATTTTTTTTAATGCCCACTGCGGATGAAGCCTTTCTTCCTTTTTCTGAGAGGTCTGAATTTGAGAGACAGCGTGGGTCAGGCCAATGATAGAAGCAACAGACCCCAAAGGACCTCCTCAATCTGGACCCACACTTAGACAGTGTCTTCTCAGTTACAGGAGCATAGGACTTCCTATAACCCTATCAAATTAATGATTGGTCCAAAAAATCAACAGAAACATAGTTATAAATGGCTAATTAATAGGGAGTTGTGTCCTAGTAGTTTATGGCCTCGGAGAGCTTTTTAAGCAAAGGGTTAAGTGGGGGGGAAAAGGAGCAGGAAACCAACCTTACTTTGGTTGGCTCCCTTAGCTCACCTCAACTTGGAAAGAGCAGAGCCGAGTGAACAACATTTGACAATATTTCTGTGGCATTATCAAAATCCAGGGCCATAATCTTGATATAAAAGCAAGCTAGTTTCTCTGACACGAGTATTTGGTTATAACAGGGTGAGGTTCATTATTAAAAACCACCCATTTGTTAATCACTAAAATATTCATTGAATGCCTAATATATGAAGGCTATCACACTGAGTTTGCAAAAAATTTTGGTTTTATACTGCTTCCATTTTCCAAAACCATAAGAATGTGTTTATGTGTAGAAAATAAAAATTTAATGGTATTTGAAGAGCTGATACCATAATCCCTCTTAGGAAAGAAACCTTTCTTTGGCTACAGTGCTGTGGGAGAAAGTGAGCCCCTGAAGGTCTGAGGGTCGTAAGAACAAAATAGTAAGGCAAGGGCTGTGCTGTTCTCCCACTTCTCCACGGGAGGACATGAGAGGCCTCCGGTGTTGCTCCAGGGTGAAGGAGGAGAAGGAGAGAGATGAAGAGCCAAACAAGTGAGGCAGCGTGAGGATGGGAAGTATGTACGGCCAGGAAGTCAAGGAAGAATCCAAAAGTGGTGAGCTGACTGACTTTTAAGGAAAAAAGGTGGTCAAAAATAAGGATTGCTTTAAAAACAAGAACTGAAGAGTCAGCAAGGCTCGGATCTCTGCAGCAAAGCCTCCCCTAACTCTCCACCATCCACCCAGTGCCCCTCTCAGTCCAGAGAGTGGCGCCACCTACAGGGTTGTTCCCAGAGACCATTGCTTCTGACTCATTGCTCCAAACCCTTTCAGGCCCTGCCAACCCAGCCCATGCCAATTGCTCAAGTCTTTAGAAATGCATAAAAGAAATAAGCAATTTGGTAAATTAGTAAATTCTTCTAATTCAGCAAATTGGTCACTCGACAATTGTCAAATTGGTTTTTGGGAAATTGGACAGCTTGTCCTAGAGCTGGGAGAGTATAATCATCTCGGGGCTCTGGCAAGTCGACCCGCCATTCCACTCAGGTCAGCGCTTTATGCTCACTCCTTCCATTCTCCTTCTTTCCCTCAGTAAATGTCAAAGCGCCTGAAATTCAAGAGCCAGCACTCATTCTCTGAGAGAGGGTTAACAGTTTAGACTCAGGCCTGCAGAGATCATCTCTGACAAAAAGCTCATATCTACAGGTCTTCTTTAAACAAAAAGTTAAAAGAAAATGACTAACCAGGGCTACCCATAAGAAGAAATACTCGGTAATGAGACAGGCTACTATCAACCCAAGAAGATTATGTCAGAAGTAGGGTAGAATCCAGTGGTTGGAATTCATAACACTTTGAGATTATAAGTGTGTCCCAGGGCACAGCTGCAAAGTGGAGTGCATGTGGGTCAGTGGAGGGCCCTCCAGCTCCACCTCTGGTGCTGTGTCCACCAGCTGGGGAGGGAAGAATCAAGCCCATGTACAGCTCCTTTTCTCCCCTAGAATCCTCTCATTGCATCATTCAGCATTTCAGCCTTAGATGCCATGAAGGGGACAGTGCTCAGACCCTCTGCCCTTCAGAGAGACCATCCCGTACTCTGTTGCTGAATGGGAGACCACACGGCTCCTCTGGGCGACTCTTCCAGAACAGTCTGGGACTGAGCTCCACCACAGATCCTGGGTGTGGCTGGTTCACAGGCTTGGACTGCCCAGAGCACAGCTGGCCAGGAAAAACAGGGCAGAAGGAATGTTGGTGGCAGGGAGGAAGCAGAGAACAGCATCTGCTCTTCTTACCTCATTTAGGCCCCTTATTACTATCTCTCTCCTTCACCAAGAATATAGAGAAAGGTAACAGACACTGAAGAGAGGTTTTACTGCAACAAACAGGAAAACTTCAAATGGGACCATTATAATCACACAAAAATCCACAGAGCACATGACACCGCCTTTGGCAGCCCCCACACTGGACCTACCAACATTCTGCATCCTGACAGCCAGAGACACGTCTGCAGAAATGTGCACCAATAGCAGCATTCAAGTCCCATGCTGGGAAAGAGGACATAGGTAAGTGTGTATCTCCCCCATCAATTCACCCACAAGTCCTAAGGTCCTGCCTAAAACCAAGCCACAGAGAGGGCTCTCAGACTGTTTCCATCCAGGTGGGAGGCAGAGGGATGACCAATGTACCCAATATCACACCTGGAGTCCCCCTGCTTGGGGCCATCTGAGCAGCAGAAACAGTAACCTTAAGGCTGGCCTCTGCAGACAGACTGGGAGCTTACATAGAAGGAGGGCCAGCAATTCTATTCTCAGGCTTAACAAGTACCTGGGTGTGGTGGCTCATGCCTGTAATCCCAGCACTTTGGGAGGCCAAGGCAGAGGAATCACTAGAGCCCAGGAATTCAAGACCAGCCTGGGAAACATGGTAAAATCCTGTCTCTATAAAAATTTCAAAAATTACCCGGGGCTTGATGGTGTGCCCCTGTAGTCCCAGCTACTGGGGAGGCTGAGGTGAGAGGATCACCTGAGCCTGGGGGTTCAAGGCTGTGGTGAGCCATGAATGCACAACTGCACTCCAGCCTGGGTGACAGAATGAAACCGTGTCTCAAAAAAAAAAAAAGAAAGGCGATGTTATCATGAAGAAACAAAGGCCATCTTTGGCCCTCTAAGGACATTTGGTGGGGAGGTAGATTTGTACAATTCAACATATATGAAACTTAAAGCAAAGGCCAGAAGAATAGTGCATGGCTAGTTCTCTCCAGCAACTCTTGGAGAGACACAGCCTATTAATAATTCTCCTTCTTGGCTCAGGAGCGGGCCACAGCACATGGGCAGCAGGATCGGATGCTCAGCATGGAGCAGCCATAGACCCACCCCCTCCTCTGCAGCTGCATGTGTGCTTTTCAGAAACCACCAAATTCAAAACCCCAAACTGCCAAGGTCGAATCTTCCGGGAAAGGCCAATTCAGCCTGCGGTTATTCATGTTTGAGGAGTTGCTTTCAATTTGAGAGGAGGTCTGACATTCCTGACACTGGGTGGGTTGGGGTCAGCCTGACAGGGACAGCAGAAAGAGACCCGTGGTCCTGTGGGAAGCTAGCACGAGCCTGCCAGAAACAGCCTGCTCGACTGTTTCCCAGACCTCAGCTCCTTCCACTGCCTGGGCTCAGATGAGAACAAGGCAAGGGAACAGAAATGGTTCAGATTTCATCCTCCAGCCCCTGAGCTACAAAAGCTCTCAGTCACGCAGCTTCCTCCTGGAGTTCACAGCACGGCAGGCCCCAGATGGCATGAATCACAACTCTGTCGCCCTGGCTAGGCCCTGGTGTGGAGCGCCATGAGAGTTCACACTGTCACCCTTGTTATGAAGACAGCCCCAGCACAGAGTGCTTCTGTCCCAATGGCACATTTAATTTCAAATTAAAGTTACAAAAGCTGAAAGTGACCTCTTCTCCTGGAAACAAAACCATGAGTTTGAGAGGGAATTTGGCTCCCACAGGGGCCTTGTCTCTCTGCACTGGAAGAGACTTTTAAATGTCTTCCAACAAAAATCAGGACTTGTCTAGAGGGTTCCCTCTGTCACCAAGCCAGCCCTCAACGTCTTTGCTGTTCATCAGCGGGTCCCCTGGGGCTCATCCCATAACCACTCTTGGGAGTCGCACTGTAAAGCATGTCACACTGTAAAGCGTGACTGGGGCACACTGAGTTCCAGGACCCGGTCACCCTTCACAGAGCCTGAAAGACCAAAACCATAGGGAGGACACACAGACAGCTTGAAGGTGACCAGCTGTTCCTCCCAAGCCTGGGCGGGCAGCAGAAAAGGTGGAGGAGAAGGAGCATAGCGCTGAAGAGAGCACAGCTCTAACCACCCTCTGCTCTCAGCCAGACAATGTCCGGCAGATCCAGGGCAGAGAGGCCAGGCTCCTTCCACAGGAAAGCAAATTCCTATGTCAACAACCAGAGAATCAACCCATGTTTGCTGATCACCTCTGATGCCCTTCACTGAGTTAAGCCCCATGAAGAAAATGGAAACACATGGCATGGTCTTCAAAGAAGCAGCATCTACCAGCAACACAGCACAGGGAGGTGGGAGGAGGGAGCGGGGAGTAACTGGACTCCACATCCAGTCGGCCTGGGTTTAAATCTGATTCCACCACTTATTAGCTGGAAATTAGGACAGATTGTTTCTATCATTATTCTCTCATTTGCAAAATAAAGATCACAATAGGTCCAGCCTTGTAAGAATTGTGGGAATTAAATGAGTCTATGCACATAAGATGCTATGTATATAAATGTCAGCTATCCATTCGAAAACAACAACAAAATATTCAATATAAAGCCAAAATCAGTAATATGACAGATGTGAATCGTAGCCCACATTAGCTCACAAAGCTAGGTAAGTAAGAGGGACCACTTTTTCTTTTTCTTTTCTTTTTTTTTTTTTTTTTTGAGACAAAATTTCACTCTTTCACCCAGGCTGGAGTGCAGTGGCATGATCTCAGCTCACTGCAACCTCCGGCCCCCCAAGTTCAAGTGATTCTCCTGCCTCAGCCTCCGGAGTAGCTGGGACTACAGGTGCCTGCACCACGCCCAGTTGATTTTTGTACTTTTAGTAGCGATAGGGTTTCGCATGTTGGCCAGGCTGGTCTCGAATGTCTGACCTCAGGTGATCCACCTGCCTCGGCCTCCCAAAGTGCTGGGATTACAGGCATAAGCCACCATGCCCAGCCTTTCTATTTTCTTTAAATCAATTTGAGTCCAATTTCAGTACACAGAAAATGCTGTCACAGTCCTGCTGGGGTTCCCTGCCTGCCAGGGCTGGGCCATACACAGCCCTGGGACATCAGGAAGGCATTCTTCATCCATCTGATTTCTGCTGCAGTACCTGATGTCCCGGCCCACAGGATCCCATCACGGCCAGCAGCTCTGCCATCTCCTGGCCTCTCTTGGGGATCAAGAGCCTCTGGCCAGGCTGGAGACCTTGTGAAAGGGCCCAGCCCCCTCAACACTCCCTGTCCTATCTCTGAGGTCCTTCTGCTGGCCCAGGGCCCTGCCCAAATTTACCAAGCTTTATTACCCTTGTCCCCTTTGGGGAGTCTCTCTTTTCTCTTCTTGCTTGTCCACAAAGGTACCCTCCACTGTCCCACCCCTTCCTCTCCATCCCATCCAGGACAATTGACACAGTCACTGGACAAAAGGCAGGAAGATTCCACTTGAGCAGTTTCTATTATCATCCCTGAGGTAAAGATTCCAAAGTCTTGCCAGCCGCCTGCTTAAATGGGGAAATGGAACATGCAACAAGCACAACACAAATCAATATCCCAAGATAACATTCCACTGCCGTAGCATGCCAGGAAATAAATGTCAAATTGTGCCTGGCTGAGGCCAGGTCACCAGCAACCAGAACTTTTAAAATATAATTGTGTTCCCTATAATCTCGCCTATGCAAGCTTGGTACAGGGTAGTGCAAATATATGGCCCCCTCAGCAGTATGAAGGGTTGTGAGGTTTCCTGTAGGGGAACTGACTCCTTAGCAGGGCTCTGACACAGGAAGAAGAGTTAGCCTGGAGAAGGAAAGGAAGCTGGACATTTTATCCAGGAACTGGAGCAAGGACAAAAGAAAGAAGGTAAGAGTCATGGAGGAATAGAAAGAGATGCAAAGAGTATTTCTGCAACCCAAAGTATCAGGTAAAGGAGTACCCTTGTGGAGTAGCCAGGGGCAGCCACCAGAAAGCAGGGTGACCTGCACTAAGCAGCTTGACCATTAACACTTGGGTCTAGCTTTGAGACCAGGGAATGAGGACCCCGGGTGGTGTGGCAGGAGTTTGCAAAGCCTTAGGTGAAGAAACATATTTAAAGATAAGTAATTTTTAAAATTCTGTTTATAATAAGGTAAATGTAGGTTTATTAGTGAGCAGAATATAAAATTTTAGAAAACTGTGAAGATAAAAGAGGAAAATGTTTTCACTTATAAACAAGATGTCCCACGTTCCCTGGGGACTGCATTCATCCCCCTCAGTCTCTAAGTGTATTTCTGTAGGAAATTTTGAGGTTTACATCAATAGCTTTTTAAAATAAAATCAGGATTCCTAGTTTAAAAAGAAAATAAATTTTTCGTAGCTACCCAGTAACACACACCTACCTGAAACAAAAATTTTGCAAACATTACTTACTCTCATCTTATAAGAATCATCTGGGCTGGGCATGGTGGCTCATGCCTGTAATCCCAACCCTTTGGGAGGCTGACGTGGGAGGATCACCTGAAGCCAGGAGTTGGAGACCAGCATTGGCAACTTTGGGAGACCCCAGCTCTACAAAAAAATTAAAAAGTAAAAAAATTATCTGTTTTTATACTATTCAATCCTAATTTATCCTAAATTTTTTCTTTAAAACTGGTCACAGAGGACTAACCTGACTTTATAACCCAGTGATGGGTCCCTACCCACAGTAGAAAAAGTGATGCCATCATGGATATGAAGCCATTGAAGGAATATCAACAAGGAAGGGCCTGGTTGGATTGTTACTTTAGGAAGTTATTCTCTGGGTTGTGTGGAGTTTGACTTTGCGGCAGATAAATGGAAGGGAACTGATCACGCAGGGGGTTCTTTTGATTCTCAGGGTGATCTGCAACGAGGGCTCACACTACAGCAGAAATAACAGAGATAAAGAGAAGGCAATGGCTGCAAGGATCAAGGAGCTAGAATCAGGAGGACTTGACACTGGATTGGCTGTGGATCTGAAAGAGCGGGGAAAGTCCAGAATGGCTCCCAGGTTTCTGCCTCAGCACTGATGCACCATCAACTGAAAAGAGAGTGAGGCACACAGGTCTAAATGGGCCAGATGGGATTCCCTGGGTCACTTTGCATTTGAGGTACCTGAGGGATGGCCATGTGGAGACAGCTGCCATTTGTATATGCAAGTCCAAATCTCTAGGGGAAAATCAGAACCATATTAATACTTTGGAAACATCTGTATTTGAGTAGCAATTAAAATTTTGAAAGTGGGTGTGGGCTGGGCATGGTGGCTCACACCTGTAATCCCAGTACTTGGGGAGGCCGAGGCGGGCGGGTCATGAGGTCAGGAGATCAAGACCATCCTGGCTAACGTGGTGAAACCCCGTCTCTACTAAAAGTGCAAAAAAAAATAATAATAATTAGCCGGGCGTGGTGGCGGGCGCCTGTAGTCCAGCTACTCAGGAGGCTGAGGAAGGAGAATGGCGTGAACCTTGGAGGCAGAGCTTGCAGTGAGCCAAGATTGCGCCACTGCACTCCAGCCTGGGGACAGAGCGAGACTCCGTCTCAAAAAAAAGAAAAAAAAAAAAAAAGAAACTGGGTGTGATTCCCCAGGGAGACTTCTGTAATGCCCAGCACGTAGAAGATTGTTTCACCTATCTTTGTGTATGTTATCATATGTATATACTATTTTACATACAGAATTAATTAATTGATGTAATATTTTACCCATCCCCCCACAACCCTGCACCACACACACACACACACACACACACACACACACCCCCTGGAAACAAAGTTCACAAAATAACCCCAAACCTCACAGTGGAACTCAGAGTGGGAAGACACAAGATTGTCATCTGGCCCATTACACCAGTGTGCGCCTCCTCTTTGGTATGTTTGTAGATCCACGAGGCTGGCTGGAGACACACCTGCCAGCTTATTGCTGTGCCCACACATTCAATTCTGTGCTCAGCATAGTGCCTGGAACATAGTAGACACTTAGGGAGAATTATAGAATGAATGAAGCGGTAGTCCCGCCTCCATATTTAACCATCACATCCATACATCAGTGTACTTTGGGGTCAGAATTTATGTGTGCCTGGTAAAAGGGAGACCTTTTTATATTAGAAAAAATGCTCAAATTATGAATAAATAATGCAGATTGCTTGGAAATGTGTCAATTTTTGGCAAGATATGACAGCAATTAGTTCTATATCTAAAATCTCAATATATAATGACAATAAAACCATCTTCTAAGTGAGAATACAATTACTATATTGCTAACAAATGTAAGAGTTGTGCTTGACTGAGTTAAATGAGTAATTCCCCTGTTGTGACTAAAATGAATTTTCTTATACAAATACATCATCACTTCACAAAGGTGTCACATTACATAATTTTTAAAACTATGAAAGTAACTGATTCAAAAATATTTTAAGACTCTTAAAAATACCTGTGTTAACTATGTAGTAAATAATAAGCTGATTACATCAATAAATCATTTTATTTTAAAAATATTATTTCAATTTTTTTATTTAAAATAAACATATTATAAACAGCAGCTGCTTGAGATAATTTTGTGTATTGCTTGTCGCTAAGGTAAAAAACCATCCAAAACCATCTTTCAAATTTCTTACAAATGGTTTTTAGTTTGATATTTCAGTCCTTTATGTATACATAGAAGGACCCTAATCATATCTTTATTGATAGAAGCATAGAGACTATCAGTTCTCAATACTGTATTATGGTATCTTTAAGAATATTTTTGTGTAAACAGGGCTATATATGTCTCTATGAACCTTAACCTCAACTCCCAAAGGGCAATCAGCATTTAAAATGTCCTAACCTAGAATTATCCCAAAGAAGGCTGCTGTAAGCAGCTTTAAAGATTGCTTTCCAAATCTGCACCAGAACATTGCTTAGCATAAAGGATGTTAAATAAATTTTCATGGGTAAAATAAGAAGTGCTCCAGGTATGTGGTCAGATGAAAAATTGTATGCAGGCACCTCAACCTTTGCACGAACACAGTATAAAAATCTCCGCCACTTTCAGCTTCAGTGTGAGACCCTAGGTCTCATCTAGCCTTCCACCACTTCGTGATGGACTTTGTTACCTGTTCAAACTCGAAGCTTTTTCCTCCCATTCCAAGAATATTGTTCTGTTTGCCTTGAAATGAACTTTCATGCAGGGTACTAGTCCAAGTGCCTAAAAGGACAAAGACTTCATCAAGTTTACTGGAGCAGACTGCATGATTGCTTACTAATAAACATCCAATTATATACTAGAATTCTGCCTGAGACTTACTTTCACTGGTACGTAACACCTGGAAACTAGGGTGTGAAGAAAGAGAGATCCAGTTATCACTTCCTTCTAACTGTTGGAGGCTACCAGTAATTACCACATAAAACAGACCAATTTGGCTCTCATGAGTTCTCAAAACTGCAGCTGGGAGACCAGCAAGGAGACCCAGAAATTATCTGGCTGTGTCCCTCTTCCAAATAACTGGAAACCTGATCCTTTCTAAAGTCTGAATAGCCTCAGAAAAAGTATATATAAGATGAAATGCATAGAACAACTGTACTAGTCTAGCCTTCACATTACAGAAGAAAGAACTTCAACAGAAAGAAGAAACTAGAATCTTGCAGGAAGCAAGAGATGGCCTCGTGCATTGTCTCAACACAAGCCTGAGCCAAGCAGCAGAGAAGGGTCAGCCCCCTTCTGTCCTGAGCGGTGGATCACCTTTGACTTCTCTGTGGTGATTGGAGAGTATTAGAAAAACTTCCACTCAAAAGCATTGTCCCGTGGGCTGCCATTTAGTTATGTACGCTCTGATGTGCATTCTGGGTTTGAATGGATGAAACCACTAGAAGAAATACAGAAAGACCAGGATGTTTGTTGAGAGTAGGTCTGCAGCTGAAATTTCACCATCAAGGGCTCAGCCTTTTGGAGGTCGCATGACTCTCCTGTGTACAGAGATACCGTATTTATTCAGCAAACATTACTTGAGCACCAATTGTAGGCCAGGCACTGTACCAGAAATGACATAGAAATGAAAAAGACATAATCCAATGGTCACCAGTCCTGGGGAAGCAGCATGTTCTCAGGAACAACTTCATAGGACTTTATTTATCTCCTGTTTTCCTCAATGACAGGAAGGACCTGGGACAGTTTCTGAGAAAAGATTACTAAGGGTAGGAGTACAGAAAATGTGCCAAAAAATAAGAAGAACAAGGGGAGATACTGAAAGAGGTTCCCTCCAGAGGCAGCCTTCACTGCATCACCGCAGTACCCTAGAACCAGCCCTAACCCTAATCGAGGCAACTGCAGTTACTAGTGAGGTGGGGGATGAAAGGCTGTTGGTAAGATGCAGCTCCAACAGGGACTGAGTAGCTCTTGTCTTGGAAAGAAGAGAAATGCCATACTTCTTCTCTGCGCATTGATGCTCTTTACTATTTTGTCCTAAGTCCTTTCAGGGAAAAGAGGCTTCTTCCATTCCATGTCCATCGACCACATGAACTCAGAAACGCCTGGTGTTCATGCCCCACAACATCTCCAGTGAAGCAGAGGTAGATGAAAGTCAAATGCATCCTGTCCCTCCTGCCAAGTTCGAAAACAGACCCAGATCGGGGCCAGATGTGTAAATCAGGCCGTATCGTGTTTTCCCCCTCCAGAGCTCTGCTCCTCTGAGGCACTCAGAAATGGGGGCAGGTAAATGCTGAATTGCTGAGGAATTTTTCCCTGAGATAGAGGAAAGGGTTTTCAACTCAGGGAGAAAGTCTGAATTTTCTGGTGCTCGGGATTAGGCTTGCTCTTGGCAAAGGACTTAGAACTGCTTGGAAAAAGCCAAAAGACTTGTTAGACATCAAAAAACTCAGAACAGTGCTTTAATGATTTCAGTGTAAGTGAATCTTTGACACATATGGATTAAATTTCCCTTACTGGGCACATGCTACAACACTGAAGAAAAATATTCCTGACAAGTCACATGCTCAGTTCACCAAATGAGTGCAAACAATGCAACAGATCACCCATGAGGTCCAATTGTATGCCGTCTCCCAGGCCCTTGTCCAGGCTCCTTCGTAAGGGGACCTCAGAGTGGGCAGGAGGAACACGAAAGCACTGACTCCTCAGGCTCCTTCCCCTGGTCCTCCCCATCCTCCTACCTTCTCCCAGGACTGGGATCTAAGCCTCTGGCTACAATACCAAATGCACTGGACTGAATAAACTGAGACCTCAAAATATATCCAATTTGAGATCTAAAATGGCTCAGGCAAATATAATAAAATACTAAATCATCTTTAAGTACTCAGAACCTAGAAGCAACTCACAGGTGTTGTACTTTCATTTGAAAGACTAAGTTCTTGGTTTATACACCTTTCTCTTTTTAAAAAATTTGTTTTCATTTTTTAGAAATGGAGTCTTACTTTGTCACCCAGGCTGGAGTGCAGTGGCGTGATCATAGCTCACTGCAGCCTTGAATTCCTCGGCTCAAGGAATCCTCCCACCTCAGCCTTCTGCGTAGTTGGGACTACACGTATGCACCAATGCACCTGGCTAATTTTTAAATTTTTATAAACCATTCTAAACATGTTGATGGTCAGTGAAGACAAGAAGCCATCAAAACTGGCCTCTGTGTGTTTCCTTCATGACAGATACTGCTTGTTGTGACTGGCATAAGCGCTCCACTCCCCAGAGCACACATGTAGCCATGGTGACCCCAGACAGTCAGGCATGCCACAGGAAGCTGGACAGATTTCCCTGGAAAAACAACTGTGCCTTGTCTTTGCCACAGTTGGATTTGCTGCTCCTCAAGAAAGCCCCGATAACAACACCTTGGAAATCTGCAGGACACCACCCAGCTCTGCATCTGCTGGGAAATGTTTGGCAACATAATCTCCTACCCTGGAATTATCTTCAAGGATTTCACATTCAGAGGCTTCAAAACCTTCCCCAGCCCCTGGGAAAGTGCTGACAACAGCAAAGGAAGGAACAGAGCCTGCAAGGTCATATCGAGGCATGTGAACCAGACAGGCTTGCAGGGCTTGGCTCTACAGAGGTTTGCCTGGGCTTATAAGAAACCATATGGCAGACATATACAGATTTTCATGGAGATAGAAAGATTCGCAAAAATCATCTTTTTCATGACATGATCAAGAACGGGAAAAGCTCATGGGAATTGAGCAAACTTGCAGAATATACAGGAGGATTTTTTTTTTTTTTTTTGAGACAGGGTCTCACTCTGTCACTCAGGCTAGAATGCAGTGGTACGATCATGGCTCACTGCAGCCTCGACCTCCCAGGCTCGAGCAATCCTCTCACCTCAGCCTCTCAAGTATATGGGACTCCAGGCATGCACCACCAGACCTGACTAATTTTTTTAAAAAATTATTTGTAGAAATGGGGTCTCACTATGATGCCCAGGCTGGTCTCTAACTCCTATGCTCAAGCAATCCTCCCAACTCAACCTCCCAAAGTGCTGGTATTACAGGCATGAGGCACCATGCCTGGCTCATTATCTTAAAGACAATTATTTTTAGCATATTGGCAAGATTATATAAGCCTTTGTCCATTTTGAAAAATGAAATAATAAGTGTCTAATAGGGTAAAAAATATTTTAAAAATAAAATAAGAGGCTATGAACCATATAGACTTGTTAATCCTCCTTTTGATCCAATGGGTCCTAGCATGATGTCATTGGTGAGAGAAACTCAACATTTTGAAAGCTGATTTGTCTAGTCTCCGCCTAGGACAAAAGCTAAGACTGTCTTATTGAAAAAAGGCCAGGCACAGTGGCTCACCCCTGTAATCTCAGCACTTTGGGAAGCCAACGTAGATGGATCACTTGAGCCCAGGAGTTCAAGACCAGCCTAGCCAACATGGCAAAACCCTGTCTCTACTAAAAATACAAAAATTAGCCAGGTGTGGTGACGCATGCCTGTAGTCCCAGTTACTCAGGAGACTGAGGTGGGAGAATAGTTTGAGCCCAGGAGGTGGAAGTTGCAGTGAGCTGAGATCACATCACTGCACTCCAGCCTGAGTGACAGAGTGAGACTCTGTCTCAAAAAAAAAAAAAGAAAGAAAGAATACCAATACATCCTAAGAGCTACCATCAACATTTAAAATCCATAACTTTGTGACATCATAATTTGTGCACACAAGAGAAGGTCTACCAAAAATATGAGTCCAAAAGACTCAGAGCAAAATTATACTGTAGCAAAATAAGTTTTATGTTTGTATAAATCAACAGTAATCCACAGTAGACAACACAGTCATGACATTAGAAAGTAAAGAAACTAAAGTTCCTTTTAGTAAGTACCAATAAGGCTGACACATCCCAAACCCGGAGGAGTTACTGAATCTGTTCATCTAAATGTAAATCTGGGCTAGGTTGTGAAATTCAGTGCCGTGAGGTTTATAGACTATTGAGGAGGAAGAATAGCTTTGAAATTGTCCTATTATTCTCTGGACTGACTGTCCATGACACTTCTCCAACCACATAAAAAGCTTTGAAAATGCAATAAGAAAGAAAAGTCAGTCATTATTACAAATTAAATGTGTCTATTGTCTCATCTTTGGGTCCAGCCTGATTTTTATTTTTACATCTTCTAGAAAAAGTCATTGTAATTATTGCTAATTCCTAGCAGCCTGCCCTATGAATTTCTTATAGTTTGTGTGCACAAAGGAAAGGAAAAAGGAAAGGAAGGGAGGGAGGGAAAGAGGAAGAAATAAAGGACTGGCAACATATGATGCATTTCATGAGTTATAAGTGATTGGACTGCGTATAGGGCTTTATCACTGGACTGTGTGTTTGAAAATCAGAAGTAAGATGAAAAATATAGGGGAAAGCTGAGTAAAGACTTATAAAAGACAAATAAGAATGGTTTATTTCAGGGTATAATTATTCTCATGGAATGAACTGAAATGGAATTTTAGATGGAAGGAGTAGGTAGATCCCAGATAGTTAATATTAATTTTTTTTTTTAGTTTCCACACTGTATTTCAAACCAGTTTTAAACTGCCCACACTATTTGATTTCATGTTTCATCATTTGCTGAGTTTAATCATTTCCATAAAGGAAGCAACAAATGATGGCCAAATGAAAACAGAAACTTCAAGAGCTGGGACATCATTAGTTAGTGAGGAGCCCAGCTTCTTCCCAGGAAGCCTGCTCAGCTATGGGTTCCAGACAGAGTAAGAATCTCTCCTGAACTTACACAACCTTAAGTCAAGAATGAAAAGTGGCTAATAGGAGAGAGACAGATGAAAAAGGATGAGCTCTCACTAACTACTCTGCCAAGGTTTTTACAGGAAGCAGCAATAAGGGTTTCATGTATTTCACACTTTTCTCTAGTATGGATTTTACCAAATTTCAGTAAAGACACATGGCAATATTTCTTTCTGGGCATTAACTTAAACCTATTTTTCAATTCTTATTTTTAGACATCAATTCCTGTGGTTGGCATTACAGAAGTGTTTCTGGAACGTGGCCATGTTGCCAATGATTTTTAATGGATGCCAAAGAAGAAAAAGCATTCTAGCTTGGAAGAAATACTTTAGGCCGGAGAAGAAAGCGCAAGGCAGTCTAAATGCAAACCATTTATGTTAAACAAATGCAGCCATGCTGAAACAATAGAGTCAGTGCCTTAGTCAAAGAATACTGTGACATGCTTATGGATATGGAGACTTGTATAAGAAATATAAAAATGATCTTTTTTGGTACTGGGGAAAATTAGGATATTTGCCTCAAATATTATGCTGTGGGTTGAGACCCATTCCTAGAAAAGTTAGAAAGCTTTTTTTCCTTGCCAATCTAAAACAGACACACGAATAAGAATAGCTGGGGTGAGCAGGCCTTGGACATTTAGGCACGTGGGCATGGCATGAGTCATGGGAACATGACAAAAGGAAATCCAAAGACCTGGGGTCTTGTCCCAGATCTGTCATTTGCTAAATATGAACCATGAGTCAGTACTCATCTAAGCTTCTATTTCTCATTAATAAGAATGGGATGATTTTTATACTTGCCCACTCAGGGTCCTTAAGAAAGGGGTTCTAGGCCGGGTGCGGTGGCTCACGCCTGTAATCCCAGCAATTTAGGGGGCTGAGACGGACGGATCACCTGAGGTCAGGAGTTTAAGACCAGCCTGGCCAACACAGGGAAACCTCGTCTCTACTAAAAATACAAAAATCAGCTGGGCATGGTGGATCATGCCTATAATCCCAGCTACTTGAGAGGCTGAGGCAGGAGAATCACTTGAATGCGGGAGACGGAGGTTCCAGTGAGCCGAGATCCTGCCACTGCACTCCAGCCTGGGCAACAGAGCAAGACGCTGTCTCAAAAAAAAAGAAAAAAGAAAGAAAAGGAGATCCAGTACCATATCAATGGCAAACCAGTAATATATTTTGGGACTAATAATAAGCCCTCATAAATTGAACCTCTTAAGAAATAAACATGTCTTTCTGGCTTAAAGAAGCAAAACAGAGCTTCGGCTTTCCAGCAACTTTTAGTAGAACAAGTGGGAGAGATGTCAGACAGTACTAACATTTAAGAACTGCAAAATATTAAGAATGAATGTTTAATGTGAGTGTTGGTCAGAGTTAATGTCAATCTTTTTGGTGCCCAAGGCACTGACAGTCAGTTCAGCATCTAGTCATGCCTAAAGGCACTTTGAGTCTAATGCAGCCTCACTCGATACCACCTTATAGGTGATGTGGAAAGTCTAACAAGGCTCAGTCTGGATTTTTCTCAGGCTCCATCCTCCTCAGTCTCACTTTGACAAAGCTCTTGAAAAAAGTTCAGCTTATCTGACTCCAACAGGGTGTTGAGTTTCTTGTGTCAGAGCTCTCGAAATAAGGAACTATTCTTAGCTGGGTTTACTTGGGAAATATTTAGCTGTGGTTGTTAGCTATTCTAGGAATGAGACTGGCTTTGGATGGAATCAGGTTGGCGTCTCCACTAGAAGAATGTCTGTTCGTTGAGGAAGAGAGCATGGGGATTGTAACTTCAGTTTGAATGTTTTAAACTATCTTGTGGGTAAATAGAAGTTCCTGCAACCCAGTTCCTCAGCATAACTCATCCATGGCTCTGTGCTTACTTACAAAAGGTGAGGCAAACTTGCAGTCAGCATGACCCTAACTACCATGTCGGTTGGTTATGTTTACTATCTTATCCACTAATGAAAGACAAGATTCTTAGGTGCAACGAAAGTCACCGACCTCCTGAAACATACCCTAAACATCTCCAGAAGCAGTTTACCATAATTCCTGGCACTCAATACTGGCATCAGTGCATGGCCTACTCCAGTGTCTTAGAAGTCACAGATAAATAAATCAAATCAGAAAACCAGAGGGAGAGCCTTTAAGAAGCGGGAGATAACCTTAGAGCTCAGTTGGCATCCGAAGGCAGGAAAATATGTAGGCAAACTGCCTAATTGACAAGTTGTAAACCAGGATTACGATGCTGTAATACAACTGAATGGCTCATAGATTCATGGAATGTCAGAATTCCAAGGCAATTGGAGATGTGATGTTCAATAAGAGTGAGTGATTATCCCACCAGACCCTGAGGCAAGACCTGCATTTGAATTTCCTCACCAACGTGTCTCAGCACCTACCAGAGTATCTGGCACATAGTAGGTGCTCAAGGTGCATTTGTTAAATACATGACAAATAAATGAGTAAATAAATTAATTTAACAGCACTTCTTCCAGATGTCTGTTTTAAGGATGACAAATGCTCTATAGCATTAATAACAGACACTGCATGCTTGCTTTGTCTCACAGCATTTGAAGTCTTAGATACCATAAAACTAATTTAAATGGTTTGTCTATTTTCTCACACTTCTAATATCAAATTTTTAGTGTTCCTAAGCCCCCAAAAATGCTGAGATTGTGAAATCAGCTCCAGCAAGAAGTTATTAAAAAAATATATAACAACAGAGCTATGGGAATCTGCATGAATTTATAGGCACAAAGCCTGAAGTCAAGAGTATGCATGATATGTTAACCAAATGTATGAATATTAATACAATACATAATTAATTTAATATGTGCACTAATATTTAGATGCTATTATGCTACACAGGCATTTGATAATTCCTGACAACATAATTGATATCACCTTGACATTAATAAGAGGACGTTAAGCTTATAAAAAATTGTGAGTTGGTCAATGTTTATGTACTGTTCATTTCTTTAAATTTGTTATAAAAGCAAAGATGTCCTATAGGAAAAATAAGAATTATGAGGTGATTAAAAACAGAAATTGGGCATTTTTATATCTGTAAGTGAAATATATATCTCTATTTCAAAATCCAGGTTTTGACTTCATGTTCACTAAAGAAAAAAGAGGGGAATTTTAGCAATTATCCAGATATTTCAAAAGGGGAAAGATATTTTCACTTATTCCACCAGAAATTCCATACAAAACAAAGGGCTGGCATGTTCCACATGATCTGGGCAAAGCCCATTTTCTTCTAAAAATTTGGTAGTTACATGTAATGAGTAATTTTTGTTCCACGGGAAAACTTAGTTTTATTGTGATTCACTGGTCAGCTATGGAGAACATTTATTATAAAATGGGTTATATTTTATTATATTACTCATTGAAAATAAAAGAATATACAAAATAAATATGTTGATCTAGAGAGAAGAAAAAGCATTGTTTATTCACCAAAATATTAAATAATAAACATATATCTTTCACTCTAAATACAAACGAATCTGACTAGATACAAAATGCCTATTCTACTCATGGTAACTGTCACATGGACTTTGAGAAATTAAACATCCACATGATGGGAGATAAGGCTGGCTTCATCCTGTTCTAAATCAAGTACTAGCTCATGGAAAAGCAATGAATCACTAGTTTTCTTTGAGTGAGGAAGAAACAGATTGTGTGTGTTAATCCATCTACTTAAAATGGAAATATTTTGAAGATTTTAAAAAGGAACTCTGGATCCCAACAAATAAATGCAGATTTGGGAGAGTCATTTATTAAAAAAAAAAAAAAAATGGGTGTGTCTACATTTTCCCTACTGATGACTGCAAGCAATTAGGTAACATAATGGGCAAAACTTGTTAGTAGGATAGAACTGGAAACAAATTATTTTTTCTGTCAAGTTTTCTATTGGAAATATTAAGGAACAACTGATGTCTCTTGGAAAAAACTGAAGACAACACCCTCTTTGGCAATCAGCTGTGGGTTTTCTTTGGTCTGATTTTCCCTGTTTTCCATGGCAAACAGGATTTACTTGAAGATGCCTGTCTCTGATCTGCCTGGCTGTTTTCCATGGGAGTCAGAGCTCCCTGTCTGGTGATGAGTTTGCTTTCTCACAAGTGGAGATGATACCCTGAGACCTACGAGACCCGCTGCCCAAGGGCAGTGAGCATCCTAAACAGATGAACCAGAGAAAGAGAAAATGTTCTCCATAACCAAAAGCAAATGCAGAAAGCCAGGAGGAAAGAGAAACTCTTGGTTCCAAGGACATAGACATTGTTTCTGAGAACATCTGCTGCCTTGTGAAGAGTGTATCATGGAGAACACAATCTTTTTGTCTCAATGGGCATGTCACAAGGCCTACAAAGCAAAGCCCCAGAGAAGCTGTATTAAGAAACAGTGCAGGAGCCTAATTCGTTTTCTATTTTGACATTCAAAAAAAACAAATGTGGCTGTTTGGTAAAACTCTCCTGACTACAAAGGAACCATCTGGGACTAATTATGATATCTAGCCTTATTTAAAACCATCATTTCATTCTGTATTTTGAGTTCCTCTAATGTAGCTAATTAGGGTTTCTCCCAACCCTACTATAATCCCATATATATTATTATATTATAGGGGAGATATATATATATTTGGAGGCATATATATATATTCCAAAGCTTTTGAAGAATTGTGCCAGGATTACTTCTATTAGTAGCAAAGAGTTAGAGTTTTCCAGCAATTCTTTTTTAACTGAAAGTCATTTTCTAAGTTTTCTTCAACAGATAAGAGTAATAGCTCCAGGACAAATTAGTGGCTTACACCATTGGAGCATCACATCTGGAGACCATGACTGCAGTGCACTTGTGTCTCTGTCAGCATGTGAGTTGTTTGCAATAGGACACATTACTGATCCAGAATAAGCGTAGCCCCGCCCCTTCGGGTCTATAGAAAACCCCCAGGGGAGCCGTGAGACCATAAAGAGCTTACCTTCCCCCCAAAAGGTTAGAGACTAAACTACATTGAATAAGCCCTTTCTCTTGCAGGCTACTGGCTAGAAGTAGATGGCTCTGTGGTGGCATCTTTCCCACTCAGCTATACTTCAAATCATTTTTTGAAAGAATATCTTTAAAGAGGCCTCAGAGTTCTCTAAAGTCCTTCTACTGCTTTCTTTCAATTGCTAACTAGAAACTGAATTTAGAAAGGAGATAACAGGAGTTTTGGGGGATCTCTCTTAAACCACAAGGAAAGGCAAGACACCTACTGAAAGAGTAGGAAGCTATCATCCTGGTTTATTACAGAGTAGTTTCCTTTTCCCACAAATAACTCTAGTCAACATGCTGAGAACCACCTCAGGACCACGACATTTGGGCATAGGTCTTTTGATTCCACCCTTCTTTCCTGCTGGCCATTTCCCTACCCCAGCTTGGGGCAGAGCCAGGAAGAAGAGAAAGAAGAACAACTTGACTGCATGTGGATTTTCTGGCAAAAGTTTAGTGAAGGACAAAGTTCAACCTAATTTCTAAAATAAATTTTTCAAGTGTTATTGGTACAAACTCAGTCTGTTCCCCATTACCACAGAAACCAAGAATTAACTATAATTTTGCTTCTATTTGATTCCCTGTAAGGACAAAACCACACTTTTAATGCCAACACATGCACAGTCTAACATTACAGTAAACGTTTTTCTGACGCATTTACAGATTGACAAAAAGAGAGAGAGAGAAAGAAATAAACTAAAACATTTGGCTAGGGCTTAGTTACTTCATTGAAAATCAGTAATATTTCAGAAAGTGGTACAATGTAGAAATTACTAAATCCATTCTTTAAAGACCCTCAGGTTAGAGTCTGAATTACTAGAAAAAGAAAGAAATGCAAATTGTTTATTATTTTCACATGTACAGTAAATTCAAAAAATTGTACTTCTTTTGAGAACCATATGGGACAGGCTTTCTTTTCATCAGGAGTGGTTTTGCTTGTTATGCCAAGAGCTAAAAAGATGTTTTTAATAACCAACGCCAGTTTGTTATACAATCTGTCTGGATTTAGCTTGTAGGAGAGATGAAGATCACTTGGGTAGAAAATAGAGGGTGATGGGGGAGTTGCCTGAGATGATAGAAAAGTAGTGCAAAATACACAAAGATGATGATAAAAGATGATTCTAAAGGTAATCAGCTTAACTTGTGGTTGGTAGAACTCCTGCATAGTTCATTGAGGAACCGTAGGAGGTGACTGGGGCTCCTTTTGTCAATGTGATCAAGTTCTTTATGGGGAGAGTGTAAAAATAAATTGTGTGCTGGCAGGCATGTCCCTTAAATACCTAAGTTTGGTGCAAGTGAGGAATTCACCCAACAACAGCCTCAGAGGATCTCAGAGAACCTGACTCCTCTTTAAACGTGGCTTTGGACAAAGGGAAGGCCAGCACCCTGTCTCAGATTAGGAAAAAAGAGTTATAAGAAATGAGAATGATCTTGAGAGGGTCGCCCATGTGTGTTTCACTAGACCAGAATTTCAAAAAAAGATTCACCAAAAACAAGTACCATGGCAGGATGAAGTTGTCACGGTCCATGATGAAATCAGAAAATTAAGGAAAGTATAGCGCATGTTTCATAAAATTAAACAACTTTGTATTAAGAGCTAGTCTTTTATTGTAAGGTATATCCTTCCTGTATTTCTCAAGTTAGAATATGCTTTATTACATTAGATTGAATCAAAGGAAACTGCCAATATTCAACTGCTTTTGAGCTACAAAAACAACAGTTTGCTAGCATTCAACCTAACATTCAATGATGACAATTGGATATGGGAGATTCTAATGGCCTTATGTGGCAAAATATAGAGCTGGTAACCATACATCAGTATCTAGATTTGGTTTTGAAAGTTGTTTGGTCCATAAAATCCAGAAGAATAGTCATAAATATATATTGCCACTAAAGGTCATCTTAACCGGCAGACTTCTAGATTTTGATTGTGGTAAAATGAAACAACGCCCTCCCCTCCCCCGACCCCTGCCAAAGAAAAAGGAAGATAGACCCAGCCGTGAAACAGAATGTCATGGTCATTGTTGGAAGCAACTCTATAAGAAGGAGAGGGTATAATTCCTTTATCTTGGGACACCAGGAGCACCAGAAAGATATGAAACAGCCCTGAGCTAGTGTCTTCCCCATCCCCCGCCCCAGCCTGTTAGCTCAAAGAAAAAGGAATTTACTGCTTACCCGCATTCATTTTCCTCCAATGGAAGGCACAGAAGCTGATTGGCCACTAGACAGCAAAGGTAAAACTCTACTGGTGACTGGGTAGAAAAGAAGTTCCAGAAACTCAACAATGTGGCTTCTGCCAACAGTAGACATGAAGAAAAGCAATACAGCCTTCTGGTTCTTATAAAAGAGGAATATCCAATGCCAAGATGAGGGCATTTTTATTGACCTTGCCAATCACTGCTCAGGCACACCTGACTGACCACAGTGGGCCAATGGGATTCCCTCTGAGTGGGAATTTGGATTTGTGGGAGGTGAGCTGGAAGGCCCTGCAGAGACTAAGGCTGCCATTTTAGAATGAGCACAATGAGCCCATGTGCAGGCAGAGAGCTGCCCAGACCAGCTAGGTCGTGGAGACCCTAACCCAGCGGCACTAGAGGAATTAAAGACACACACATGGAAATATAGAGTACAGAGTGGGAATCAGGGGGCTGACAGCCTTCAGAGCTGAGAGCCACGAACAGAGTTTTACCCACATATTTATTGACAGCAAGCCAGTGATAAGCATTGTTTCTATAAATCATAGATTAACTAAAACAGGAAACAAAGGGATGGGCTCTGGATAGTTATCTGCAGCAGGAACATGTCCTTAAGGCACAGATCCCTCATGCTATTGTTTGTGGTTCAGGAACACCTTAAGCAGTTTTCCGTCCTGGGTGGGCCAGGTGTTCCTTGCCCTCATTCTGGTAAACCAACAACCTTCAGCATGGGCGTCATAGCCATCATGAGCATGTCACAGTGCTGCAGAGATTTTGTTTATGGCCAGTTTTGGGGCCTGTTTATGGCCAGATTTGGGGACCTGTTCCTAACAGAGAGCTGAAGAGAGGAAGCAAACATGCAAAAGCCATGAGAGATCTTATGCCAAAGAGAAATAGATGGGAAGACACCAAGGCAGAGAAAGTAGCACCCTTCATTCCAGACTGTATTCCAAATCCACATCCAGTCATTCAAGAAGACCTAGCTGGGTCTTGGGATCCAGACCTTGAGATCCATGAGATACCCTGAGACTAATTTTTCTTTACATAGGTGAGCTGGAAGAGGTGGGGGAGGGGTTGTCTTAATTTTACAAACAAAAGATCCTTGCTAAATTGTAAGTTTGTAAGTGATCTATAATATTTAGCAGGAGAAGAAATGAGATTGTAAGTAGAACTGGCCAAAAGTTATAGCAACCTGACTCCCATAACCAGGCTTCATGAATCTGAGACTTAAGGGATGGAAATAGAAGTAACCCTCTCACTAATACCCTGATGATTCACTAGCAAAGGTTTTGCTTCCCATACTTGCAACTTTTGGCTTGGCTGGTTTTGATTTCTTAGTTACAAAGAAAGAGGAATGCTTCCACCAAGAGACAAAACAACAATTCCATTCAACTGGAAGTTGAGACTGCCACATAGCCACTTTAGGGTCCTCACAGCTGTGAATCCACAGGCAAAGGACTTATGTCAGTGGTTCCCAACTGGGAGTGGTTTTTGTCTCCCAGAGGACATTTGCAGTGCCTGAGAACATTTTTGTTCATCACAACTGGAGGAGGGGATGCTCCTAGGTATTGGGTATCTAGTGGTAGAGGTCAAGGATGCTGCTAAATATCCTACTATGCACAGGATGTCCTTGCCCTCCCCCACTTTACATCCCCTCCCTCCCTTCCAAAAGGCCTGCACTGCAGACATCAAATTCTAGTGTAAGACGTGAAGATAGGTTCACAGAGACTATTGAACCAGCTACTACAATTGTGTATAATGTTAAATCTCTATTCCAAAATTAATATATATAGTTCAGCCATTGTGGAAAGCAATTTGGAGATTTCTCAAAGAACTAAGAGTTGAACTATCATTTGGCCCAGCAAATGGGCATATACCCAATGGAAAATAAATTGTTCTACCAAAAAGACACCTGTACTTGTATATTCATCACAACACTATCACAATAGCAAAAACGTGGAATCAACCTAGGTGTCTATCAGTGGTGAACTGAATAAAGAAAATGTGGTACATATACACCATGGGATACTACACAGCCATACAAAAGAATGAAGCCACATCCTTTGCAGCAACATGGATGCAGCTGGACAGCATTATCCTGAAGGAATTCATGCAGGAACCAAAAACCAAATACCACATGTTCTCACTTATAAGTGGGAGCTAAACAAGGACACAAAGATGAGAACAATAGACAGTGGCGACTACTGCAGGGGAGGGGAGTGAGGGTTCGAAGACTATCAGGTACTATGCATTATGCTCACTACCTGGGTGACGGGATCATTCATACATCAAACCCCACAACACGCAATTTACCCATGTAACAAACCTGCACATGTACTCTCTGAATCTAAAATAAAAGTTGATATAAAAAATAATGCACACACACACACACACACACACACACACATTTATACAGGCTCCTTCCATGGCCCTGGAAGGGTCCCTAGCATTATGATCTTTTTGGAAAAGTCTTGAAAATAAGCTATTTTGAACACAGTCAGTCAACTTTCAAAATTATTTTGAATACAGTCAACTTTCAAAATTTGTAACTAGTTGTGATTTGTTTCTCTTTCTTAACAGAGAATCACCTTCATACCTAGTTTATACTCATAATTTCATATTCATTCTCCTAGAGAGGGCCTTCTATAGGAAGGAAAATAATCTATGCTTCAAAATCTGCATCTGGCCCTGCAGAGCTCTAGCTGCACTTGAGGTCAGTTCAGAGCTGATACCCCAGAAAACAAATCAAATGACCCTTTTGCAACTGTAGGATGAAATAGATGCAAACTACAGAGGAACGAAGAAAACAAGTCCTGAGTTCTGACCTCAGGCATTTAAACATGAAGTGAATTCCGCCAATGTAGTCTTCATTGTAGTTTGTATTACAAAAATACCACTCTAAGAAGAAGGGCTGTCCTGGAAAATCAGGTTCAGTCTCAGAATATGCACATCCTCAACAAGAAGAGGGACGCAGCTGAGGGTACAAGGAGCTCAAGAAAGAGGCTAGAACATCAAAATCTTCATCAGTGCATTTTTCTGGACCCTGGACCTTCCCAAAGAGCAGGGAAATTACTAACATGTAAAGAAAGTCTCAGATCTTATTGGAATGATTCATTGAAGTGGAAATGGAAAGTGCCTTGTTTGAGGAGAACATTGAGACATTGAGTAGGTTTCTAAGTTCAATGTCACACATAAATGTGACAACAAAATTTTAAGACAGAGATGGGTTTTGCTCAGAATTGATGTCATTGCTGGCTAAAGATGAACATTTTGGGAAACACTTTATCACTTTAAAATTCTTGGAAATAAAATTTAGCTCCTTAACCAAAAACTGCAATAATATGCATTCTACAGCCAAGTATTTTACAAAAAAAAAATTCTTCACATTTCTAAGTTTTTCTGTGACAACTTTTACACTGAAGAAATAATATGTATCTTTCATGACCTAAATTATAGATACTTTAGACGTATTTTATTTTTTAACATTGTAAAACCATTTTTATCTCAGATCTAAAACAGGATGGATGGATGGAGAGAAGGGAAGGGGGTTAATACATGAAGAGTTGTTATGCTGCAGTTCGAGCTAGGTGGCAAAAAAAAAAAAAAAAAAAAATCTTCTTATGATGGAGAAAGGCTCTTCTCTTTAAGAACAATGCCATACCGAGCATGTTGGTTGTGAAAGGTGAGATTCCTAGAATTCAACCTACATAACAGAGTTCCAATAAAGAAGAATCAAAGCATTCGACATGATAAAGAAAGAAGATTTGGAAGCCTCTGATGGTGGGCTGGGAAGAGAAGGTTTTTAGGTCTCTGAGACTGGGGGATGCATAAAGAATTTGGGGGAAGAAAAAGAGAGATCCTCAAGAGGGTGAAAGTTCAGGGCCAAGAGACAAGCATGGCCAGTGAGAAATTCTCTGTGAGAGGGATTCGCATTAAATGTCCACGAAAAGAGAACTGGGAATGATTTCCTGCCTCAGGCCGTAATTATCCTATCAATTCCCCAACTTTTAGGAAAATCTGTGGTACTCATGCCAACATCATGCAGCTGCTCTCATAACTGAGAGCCAGGGGAGAAGGTGAAGCCACCAGCAAAGTAACTGAGAACCACCAGAGGCAGGAAATCAGAACCAGAAGGCACAGTGAGAATGTGAGACACTGCCACGCACACCCGGTCCACCCTCCTGCCGATGCCCAGCTACGATGGGGAGCAGACTTACTTCTCACACGAAAGGGGCTCAAGCCACTTTATAGGAGAGTAAACTAAAGGTTGACGCAGAAGGTCAGAGGATTTGGGGACATCGGGTAGCCAGCATCAGAGTTACATGTGTTACAAATATAACAACTAATTTGATCACCTACATTTGCCCTATTTTTCCTTAATAAAAATTTCAGAAGATTCAAACCACATTTTAAATTCCAATTCTTTGGAACTAGAGGTTTTGCTCTGGACCATTTGGGTCTTATAAAATGTTGATCTCAGGAGCTAACAGCATCACATAGAAACATTACAAGTTCTATCGCACTGAAAGAAATCTGAAATAAAGGCAAGTCATCTCAATGAGTTACACAGAAATGTGGGTCGATTCATTTCATTAATCATGACCTTGAGGTGTGAAGGCATGGAAGGCACAGGCAGGGACACAGGCAGAAGGACAGCTGCTCAGTATCCTGCCTAGAAAATTGTGTCCCTTTGGTGTCTCCTCTGAGGAAGAGCAAGTGGCTGTTCCTCACCCGCCCCCAAGAAGGGGATCCTGTAACACTCTGGTTCCTCTGAGGACCTAGCTCCACCAATTTTCTTCCCTCTCTAGTATATATTTGTTTAACCTTTCCCTATTCCCCGGTTCCTCCAACCAGCGCAGGGGCTCCCAACTGCAGAGGCAGTCAGCCTGGTGGGGTGTAACACCATGTGGCTTGTTAGCCCTGATTTCTTACACTGTTTATATAAATTAAAGAGTATTCCAGAGCTGCTCTGTAATATTACTCTCATATTCCGCAATGCTTTTTTGAGTGAGAAAGCTCTAGTTTGCTATCTGGGAATTGTCCGTAGCCCACGGCCTATCTCAGCTACCCATGGACATTTATGCATCAGGGATCTCAAAGGAACAGAATGCTGTAAAGCCCGAAAATTGGGATACAGGGTAACAACGTGTGGCCATTTCTGTGGGAGTGTATTACACATGTGAACCGCATTATTCATAATGTTGCAGCAGGCAAAACAAACACCTCATCGCTAATGCCTTACCCTACAATATGCTCAAGTTTCTTCCATCTTATTAAAATCTTATTAAAATGGTTGCCTTAAATCCTTTCCGAAAAACTCTAAAACTGCTAGATGTAAAACAAAGCAACAAATAAATTTTAGTTTGTCTAAACCCCTGTGTAAGTCTGTTTCCAACAGGAAACAGATGGCACCCTCAAATTAGGATAATTTAAGTGGGGTTTAGTTAAACAAGAACCTTTTATAAGGGTCCCAGTAGGGTGTAGGAGAACCACAAGGGATAGTGTAGTGACCTGGGGCTAGTAGCAATGGAGTAACCATCCCTGAGTCGAAAGCAACAAGGGAAGAAGTTACTGAAAGGCAGAAGGAGAGAATGTGGAGGGGGCTGTCTTGAAAGGAACAGTGAACGTCAGAGAAGGGATGAAACCCAGTCGAAACCCAGTCGAAAGCATTCCCTCTGGGAGAGCCCCAAGGGATAAATATCCTGAGCTCCCTCTACTCCCTCTTTTCCATGGAGTGCGATGTTCACCAAGGACTTCCTACTGGGCAAATGCAGGAAATAAACACTCCTTAGTTCTTTTCTCACTTGATCTCTCTCCAGCATTTGACATGGTTGACTACTTCCTTCATCTTGAAATCCTGTTTTCCTTTGATTTCTGGGACACTACTCTTTCTTGGTTTGCTCTCTTCCTCTCTGATTTCTCCTACTCTAAATCTACAGATTTGTCTTTCTAGTCCTACTCCATAAATGATAGTGTTCCCCAGGGGTCTGTTATCAACCTATCCTTTCTTCTCAGGTGATCTCATTTATTTCTTCACTACCACCTAGTTTTCAACTTTCCCCATATGCCCATTACTACCTGTCTTAGTTTGGTTTTCCCCAGAAGTATATCCTGAAACAGGGATGTAGATGCAAATCATTTGTTTTGGCAGTGATGCCTGGAAACGCCATCAGGGGAGTGGGGAAGGGAGACAGGGAAGAGAAAGGAGCCCATAAAGTAAACATTATTAAGCAAGATTCCACAATGGGCGAAAAGAGCTTAGTCCTGCTGGGAAGCTCCAGGGAACAGCGTAAAACATACTCTAGAGTTATCCCAGGCAAAGGGCAAATGAGCTGCAGCATTTGCACACAATCCCTGAGAGTCATTTTTTGAGGGCTACTCCCAGAAAGCATTAATTCCTTACCCCTTCCAGCCTGTTGTGACCATAGGTAGAGAAGCCCCTGAGGACAGTTGTTGACAATGGAAAGATGTGCCAGAATACACCAAAATGGTAACTACCAAAGCAATATGGGTGGAATACTGACAGCATCTGCTACATTTCTAAATTTCTGTTTCTGGTCCAGATCTCTCTATTTTTCCCCTGATCCACAGAACCAACTGCCTACTTGGACTTCTACTGTCAGACTCCAGGGGCCTCCCACTCCCACCCTCACCTGTTTTCTCACTGATTGCAGAGCTTGACACCACCATCCTCACAACCCCAAATCAGACACCTACCATTCATTTGTGATTTGCTAATTGGTTGCCAACCTCCTAACACCTCTTTTAGATTCTACCTTCCATCCCACTGTGTTAGTTCAGGTCCTAATATTTTTTGCCTAAGCTATTGCAACAATCTCCTAATCAGCACTTCTCTCCCTATTCTATTCACACTTCCACACCATGTAATCGTCTTGCTTGAAATCCTCCAAAATCTTCTTAAGGGCCTCTCAATTACCTCAAGTCAAGATTCTAAGTCTTGAGGTGAACACAACGATCTGGTCTCTCTCTTCATCTCCAGCTTCTCCTTCTTAACTCCTCTAAACACATTCTATCTACCTACCCACACACATGTGTTCATAGTTCTCCACACATGACAGAGCCTAGACTTTGCATATGTGTTTCCTTCTGCCATGCTTTCATCTTTCCTTCAACTCCAACTTGTGTCAAACATCACTTTTTTTGCCATTTTGTTACAGATCTCCAAGGAGACAGCTCTTAGGCTATGTTTCTGCAGCACCAACAATTACTGAGCAATAATCACATATCTAATGGGTTTATAGTAAAGGTATTCATATGAATAGTGTAGGTTCTTTACCTGAAGATCGGAACATACCAGAAGTGATACAAAAAGATGAAGACCTAATGGATAAGCATACAATTGTTCATAATAATGCTCAACATCAGACATAAAGATGTCTTAAGATGTCTCTTTTTCACTGAAGAGATTCAAGTTATGAGCAGACTCGGCTTTGGGAATCTACCATGATGGTTCGAGTAAGGCTTTTTATACCAGATCTAGATTCTATCATCAACACTGTTATTATGCGGATCAAAGGGTACATCAGTGGATTGTGCAGCCACAGATGTCAAAGACCAATTTACCATTAACAAAGTTAATCTAATCTGATTAACACTCCTGCCCATCAGCCTTTTAAGGTTACTGGGCTGCTACTCACCCTCTGCCACTCCAGTGTCTCAGCATCCCTATGGAAACTAAGCATTCTGTTTCAAAGGTAATATCTACCTCCACCCATAGCCTACAGAGGACAGCCACCAGAGCACTTTTCAAAAGTGCTGATGCCACGTTCCCAATGTGTTCCTCAGTGCTATGACAAAGGGAGTGTCCTCCGGGCCTTTACAGAGAAAAATAGTTATGGGGAGGGAGAGCTGTTCATGCATGATAAATCCATTCCTACATCCCAATCATTTAAGTTACTGCACTTCTCTTCTTTCTCTATCTAATACTAAGAAATGACTGATCCCTCTACTTCATTTAGTGTGTGCCACTGTTGAATCTAGGTTTTAAACAACAAACAGAGCAAACTGTTAGGAACACTTCCAGCCGCTCAAACCAGCACATTTAATCCAAAATCCCTGGTGAGAGAACCCATATCCAAAAAATTCATCCAGTCTAAAATTATACAGCTCATTCCCTGGGCTGGCAACTCCAGATCCATTACCATACATAATCTCCCAAATCTTTTGTGGCGTAAGTTAGCAAAACTATTTTTGCAATTTGATTATCACAGATTTGACTTTACAATTGGTTCCCTGGTATATGCCAGAATGTGACTCTAAGTGCCTAAAGGCAATGAGGAAAATTGACACCCCCTGGCAAGACAACTATTTCTGGTGAGGTCATCACAGTGTCTTCAAGCAAGGCAGGAATAGCATTGTCTCACAGGGGTTGCTTCTGCTAACAAGAAAAAAATTAGTGGAATTTGGGAGTTCAGTATTTTTAAAAAGTTAAATCCTCCCAAAAGTCACTATTCTATTCTCAACGTTCCCCTCTTTTTTTATTTTAAATTTTATTTTATTTTTGAGACAGGGTCTTACTCTGTCACTCAGGCTGGAATGCAGTGGCACAATCGTAGCTTACCACAGCCTCAAATTTCTGAACTCAAGTGATCCTCCAGCCTCAGCCTCCTGAGTAGCTAGGACTACCGCTTATGCCACCAAGCCCAGCTAATTTTGTTGTTGTTGTTTGTAGAGACAGGATCTTGCTGTGTTGCCCAGGCTGATCTCGAACTCCTGGGCAAAAGTGATCCTCCTGCCTCAGCCTCCCAAAATACTGGGATTACAGGCATAAGCCACTGTGTCTGGCCTATTTTATTTTATTATTTCTAGAGACAAGGTCTCACTCTGTCACTCAGACTGGAATGCAGTGATATGATCATAGCCCACCGTAACCTCAAACTCCTGGGCTCAAGCAATGCTCCTGCTTTAGCCTCCTAAGTAGCTAGAACTATAGGTGCATGCCAGCAACCTTACCTAACTTTTTAGAATTTTTTTTGAATAGACAGGGTCTCACTATGTTGCTCAATCTGGTCTTGAACTCCTGGCATCAAGCGATCCTCCTGCCTTGGCTTCCCAAAGTGCTGAGGATACAGGCATGAGCCACTGCTCTTAGCCTGTCAGCGTTCTTCTGTTTTGTGATCATTATGCTTGTGTTCATATAAGAGATCCAGCAAAGCTATGAATTTCACCTGCAATGCAGGTAAGCAGTTTGCAGGATCTGACCTGTGTCTGATTTTCCACCACGCCGGCCCTTTGACAAGATATAAGGAATCTCTTTAGATGAGTCATAGAAACTTCCCAGACTGTAAGCCACTGGGCACAGTTAGAAAGAGCCAGTCTAACCTGCAGCATATCATCCATACCCATGGTGACTATCTATCCCAGTTTGCTTGGCACCATCCTATTTATGTCTGCTATCTGAGAATTGTTAACTATACTCGTTTTCTCTTTCAAAAGTGTCCTAGTTTGAGCAATACATTATGTTTACCCTTCACGTACATGTAACCTAGCAAACAACCACTTATAACACCAGTGGATGCTCAAGGGAACCACAATAAAAATCTGTTTTATTATTGAATACCATTCTCTAAGGCTGACAGTTTCCACTGGTTTAAAGCCAAATGGAGTTGGATAATCAATCATAGATTTGCATTTTCTTGAGAGTCTGTTCCCTGCAATCCTCTTGGTACTAACAACTACATAAATCAGGATTCTTCACTGCAGACTACAGAATCAACTCTGTTATTAAAACAGAAAGAAATTTACTATAAAGTATGGGATCTTACAGAATTCTGAGAGGGCCAGAACCAAACCTACATTCATAACCAAGAAAATTGCAGCCAAAATAAATGCTCAACATGAGACTGTCCCATCAGAAAACTGTCATTATCATCTACTGCTTACCACCTAGGATGGGACTAGACAGCAGACTCATCGTGACAGCTGCCCAGAAGATTTTCTTGCTCTGTGTGTGACCCTCCACTGCACATGTTTCCTGTCTGCATTCTAAGTTTTGTGTAGGAGTATCTTCTTAGTAGAACCTAGGTCCTGTACCAAACCCTACCTGGGAAAATGCAATGTCATCTTTATGTTTAAGATCTCTTTAAGACAGAAGGTATATTATTAGAGACGCTTTGGTGAGGATGAAGGTTGAATCAATCTTCAGTATCTGCCAAGAGCTGAAAAGGATGATGAGGAATGCATATGAAAGACAGCAATGGTAAGAACATCAGTGGTGGCTCCAGAATTTCTATTCAGGAAGCATTTAGAGGGCACTATCTCATTGGAAGGAAGATCAGGGGAATGTCTCAAAGCTGTGTTTGCATAGCAAGCACACTGTTATTGCTTAGCTCTACTGTTTATTCCAAGTGGACCTATGAGAGCTCATGGAGGTCTAAATCAGACAAGTGAGACAACCCTGGCCCCTTCCCAAATGGAAAGGTAAAATATGGCCATGACTATTACCCCTACTTCACAGATGGAGCTGTACTGCTTCTGAACAGCACAGTAAAGGACAAGAAGGTCCTTAAATAAAGTGCTCTGCCACATGTTGAGTCCTCCCTCAACATTTCTATGAAAGAGAAAAAGACTGTTTTTAAAACAAAATTGGGACATAATATCTAGAAATGCAAATTATGTTACAAAATAGTTTAAATTATGAACTTCCAGATAATCTTGGTTTATTATTTCTATAATTGTCACATCCAAACTGGCACAGGCAAGGAGGACCAAGTGTGTTTTCCCTTCTCTGTGTTGCCAATCTTTCTCTCTCTCTCCCTCTCCCTCCCTCCCTCCCTTTCCTCCTCCTCCTCCTCTTCCTCCTGCTCCTCCTTCTCCTTCTCCTCCTCCTCCTCCTCCTCCTTCTTCTTCTCTCTCTCTCTTTTTCCGTACTTGAAATACCCCTTTGCTTTCAGGGTACTTTGAGGCAACTAACAGTCATATTTGTCTCTGTGGGATCCCTGAGATGCCTTTTTTGATTGCCCCAAGTCTACCTAAGTAGGCCAGTGGATGGTTCAAAAAGAATTCATTATCTATTTCCTTTTTGTGTTTTTTCTTTTTTTTTGTAATCAAGCCATTTGGTGAAAATCTGTAATTCACAAGTCAAATAGCACAGAACAGAGACAACTTTCGGAGCCCACTGTGGACATGGTGGGGGCCAGCCTGTGCTGCTAAACATAGATTTTGCTGATCTGTTGGCTTCTCAGTTTATAGCATTCAGCCCCCTGGCTCCTCAGCAGCTCCTTCTCTTCGGCTGTGTCTCGAGCTTTCAGCTGCGAGAAGTGGGCAGGAGAGGCGATGAGATCATATTGTTGGTCCAGATACCGCAGGTAGATGAGCATGTGCAGGGCATAGGCCAACACCAGCAGCAGGATCAGGGACATTGCCAGGCCGATCAGAAAAGCTGGCGAGAAGGAGGAGGCGCAGTCTTGGGCTTTGGTAAATCGTCCCCCCTTGATGGCAAAACCTTGGATCTGCAGGAGAAAGGAAGGAGCTGAAGTGATACATCCCTTCTCTCCTAGGATCTACTTCCCAGTTGGGCTGGCAGTTCTGGCCCCTAGGTAGCCAAATTTAATATACTATCACCATATTTGCTGAATAATTTAACCACACAATTTGACAAATGTGATTGTGCTTATGGGGACAATGCAACTCAATCTTAAAACAAGACTGACCCAGAAATTCTGGGATGCATGGATGTCATAACTAGGAGGCTCATGAAATTCAAGACTCTGAAATAAAACCTTGATTTCAAGGCTCTGAGATAAAAGTTCTTTTAATCTGATCCTTAGAAATATTCCAGTTCATGTAAAAACCACAACTGCTGTGGTGTCTCTAAAATTCAAAGCACACTCAAAATTTTATAAGGGTAGTATAAGTTTCACAAAGATTTTAAGTCTCCGTTCCTCTGCCTTTGATTCTATTGACAGGAATGAGGAAGAGTCTTTGAAGGGGGATGTCATGATCCTTAATGAGGTAAAACATAAATAATAATCATAAAAGCTAACACGTATTGAAGGTTTTTGTGCACCATATACTACCTTGTTTAGTAGGCAAAGAGCCTATGAGTAAGTTACTATTTTATTCCTACTTTATGGATGAGGAAACTGAGGCACAGAAAAATTAAGTAACTTGCCCAGAGTCACATAACAGTAAATGCTGTGATGGTGTAATTGAAACCTGGGCAGTGGGCGTCAGACTCATACTCCATAGCTCCTGGTGGGTTCTGTCTCTTCCTCCTCCCTACCCTCTCTCTCTCTCTCTATTGGTTTTATCATACAGGCTTTGTCCCATTTTTGGAAGAGGTGGATACCAGCCCCTCCTTGCATCCTACCCATTACGTTTAATGGCAAAAACCGCAATCACTTTTGCACCAACCAAATAGAAAGTAAAGCTTCCATTGTGTGCAGATGAAATGGTATAATTACTTGAAAGGAAGAGAGGTTCAAATTGAGAACTGGCACTGATATCTAATACTGTCAAAATGAAACAGGACTATAGAGCAATTACTTTAAAGCAAGAGCCATCGCTTGTGGAAGACAGCTCCCTGTCCAGCCGGCTTTAAAAGTATGACCCTACACAGCATTTCCTCATTCAGACACCTACTCAGTTTTTAAAGAGTACATCAGACAACTGAACTATCCATGAGTGCTTTACTGAAAATTCACTTTGATGGCTTAAGTGAGCACTTTGGCATTGTCCCATGCTAAAATTATTGAGGCCGCCCATCACTCCATAGACACAAGGGGCCTTGCTCGCCCAACTCGATTGAACCCAAAGCAGATCCTGAAGGAGACTCTTGTCCTGGCTTCGGGGATCCCTGCCCCACACCTCCTATAAAGAGACAAAGTGACCTTCTCTTGAGACTGGTGCCTGAAGAGTCGAGCTCCTCCATGACAAAAGAGGACCTCACTTGATTCTGCAACTCCAGCCAAGGAGAACGTCCTGAGGTTGACTGACACTTAATTCTTTTTTTTTTTTTTCTTTCTTGAGATGGAGTTTTGCTCTTGTCGCCCAGGCTGGAGTGCAATGACAGGATTTCAGCTCACTGCAACCTCGACCTCCAGGGTTCAAGCGATTCTCCTGCCTCAGCCTCCCAAGTAGCTGGGATTACAGGCACTTGCCACCATGCCCTGCTAATTTTTGTATTTTTAGTAGAGACAGGGTTTCACCATGTTGGCCAGGCTAGTCTCAAACTCCTGACCTCAGGTGATCCACCCATCTCGGCCTCCTAAAGTGCTGGGATTACAGGCGTGAGCCACCACGCCCAGCCAACTGCCACTTAATTCTTAACAAGACTTGTTTGAGAACAGTAAGTGTGGAGAATGCCTGAAGGATACATTGTCCACCCATTTCCTGGACTAGAGGTTATACAGACATGCTGTTTCTAGCCCACAGGTGTGTTTTGTTTGACCCAGTACTCGGAATATCCTGAAAATTTCCTGTGAGAATCTACCATTCTAGCTTCTATTGAAAAGATCCAGCAACACCAGCCCTGCATTCCTACAAAGCAAAAATCAGCTGCAGTTGAATTTGTAAAATGCTCATTGTGATGAAGGCTACCCTTTGCCATGGTCCCAGCCCAACTCACCAGTTACCCAAGTACTCGAGTTTGCCGCACCGGCCACATTGCTCTATGCTCTATTCCCACCATAAGCCAGGCCAGCAGAGCTGTGTATGTGGACAGCAGCCTTTTGTACACATACCTCAGCCACCATCACCATCACCTCCTCTCCCCTGGACTGAGCTTGTGTTCTGCCATCTCTTCACATGAAGGGGGTTTCAACAAGGCCCATCTGTCCCCCTGAAAGCTGTGTTTATAATAAGAATGCTGATGAGGATGTATACATCTCACACCACCAGGGATGAATGTGCTTATCCCAAGCACATTGGCAGTAGTCTTAGGGAGCCTGTGAACATGTAACTGAGTGTTTCTCATACTGGCTGCTCCAGAACTTCAGAGCCAAATTCTTGTGCCGCCTCCAGCCAGTGCAGACAGATGGTCTCGTGGTTTTGTATATTAACCTCACTGGTGGCTCTAACTGACATTTTCTTCCTTTGTGTTTCTCTACCCCCAAGTCTTTGCTAAATTTTTTGTTTTTTTATTATAAAACATATATGATATAAAATTTATCATCTAACCATTTTAAGTGTATACAGTTCAGGGATATTAAGTACATTCACATTGTTGTGCAACCATTGCCGCCATCCATCTCCAGAATGCTTTCACATCTTGCAATACTGAAACATTACTCCCATTAAACACTAACTGCCCATTCCCTCCTCCCTTCAGTCCCTGGTAACTACTATTCTACCTTTCCATCTCGGGGTTTGACAACTGTAAGTACCTCATATAAGTGAAATGATGCAATATTTGTCCTGTTGTGGCTGGCTTATTCCACTTAGCATTATGTCTTCAACATTCATTCATGTTGTAGCATGTATCCAAATTTCCTTCCTCTTTTTAAATTTAATTTTTTTTGAGACATCTGTCACTCAGGCTGGAGTGCAGTGGTACAGTCTTGGCTCACTGAAGCCTCGACCTCCTGGGCTCAAGCAATCCTCCCACCTCAGCCTCCCAAGTAGCTGGGACTACAGGTGACACCACTACGACCCCAGCTAATTTCTTTTTTAAAAATTGTTTGTAGAGATGGGGGTCTCACTATGTTGCCTAGGCTGGTCTCAAACTCCTGGGCTCAAGAGTGATCCTCCTGCCTCAGCCTCCCTAAGTGCTGGGCTTAAAGGCATGAGCCACCACGCCCAATCCCCAAATTTTCTTCATTTTTAATGCTGAATAATATTCCATTGTACATATACACTAGATTTGTTGATCCATTCATCCATTGATAGACATTTGGGTTGCTTGCACCTTTTGGTTATTGTGAATAATGCTGCCATGAACGTAGGTATAAACACAGGTGAAAGCTGTTCAAGTCCCTGTTTTCAATTATTTGGGGTATATAGCCAGAAGCAGAGTTGCTGGATCCCTTGATAATTGTATGTTTAACTTCTTGAGGAAACTCCATACTATTTGCCGCAGCATCCACACCATTTTACATTCCCAACAGCAATGCACAAGAGTTCCAACTTCTCCCTGTCCTTGCCAACACTTGTTATTTTCTGTTTGCTTGTTGTTGTTTATAATAGCCATCCTAATGGATGTGAAGTGATTTGCCTATTTTTGAAAGTAATTTTTCATAAGTAGTATTTCCATAAGTCAACTAAGTCATTTCTGGAACAAGGTAGAGGTATAAATCAATCAATTCCCCCGGTCTAAATAGGCGAAATTATATGTAAAATATTCCTTGTTGTCATTATATCCTCACTGCCATTCCTCTATATGTATACATACACACATGCATACACACATGTATAGACATACACATACATAATATAAATAATATTTATAAACATTTTATACACACACACACACACACACACACACACACAAAAGAATCCTTGGAACCAAACTGTCCAGAATTTGAGTTCTGCCTCTACCGTTTACCAGTTATACTCCTTAGAAAAATTATGTGATTATCGGAGATTCAGTCACCTCATTCATAAAACCACCTTGCAGCATTATGGTAAGTTCTGAAGACAAAGCACATAAAGTAACGACCACAGTACCAACACACACGGGTCACTCACAGGTAGCAATTATTGTTAATCCACGCCTGGCACACTCCTGAGTGTTTCCACATATCTTAGGCCACGTATTCTTTACATTAATAAAGATAGGTGAGAAATTGAGAGAGGTTAAGTAACTTGCCCTGGTGGCTGAGCAGTAATTTGAAACCAGGTCTGTCTGACTCCAAAATGTGAGCTCCTTCCCTACCCCAAACTGCCTTTCATCCACACGACACTTCTCTAAGCTTGGGAAGGATGAAAGGGAAGAATATGCATATATGCCAATGCCCACATATATTTGGAAAAGGTTGGAATGTGCCCATAAGAGGTACATGCAAAGCCCTGCCTACTATTTCAGGGAGTGGTAGGAACAAGCTAAGCTTCATTCACAGGTAAACAGGATAGAGGAACTTGACAGAATGTCTCTCAGCCTAAGATTCTGGTGGTGAAAAGGAATCTCTTACACCCCATTCCTTACTCCAAATACTTTCAAGATCTTTGGGATATTTTTGACTCCCCGCTGAGTCCCTTCCTACTAACTGCCAAAGCTGTCACTCACACTGCCGATGTACTTCTTATCTTCCCTGATAAGATCACTGCGCCACTCCCTGAAGGAAATAAAATAATTGTCCGCCAATGCCTCTCCCCAGAAGGGCCTCTCAGTCCAGGAAGTGTCAGTCCCTGGCTTCACCCACAGCTTCACTAGGGCTTAGATGGCTGGCATTCCTCACTGATAATTATTCGTGCTGGATAAAGCTGAATGTAAAAGCAAGCCCTGGGTAGGAGGTGGGGGACACAGGGAGATAAAATTCTCTATCCTATTCTACTTCATACCTTAAAAGACAAAGGAAAAAAACCACCAATATTCTTTTAAAGGCATCTACTTCTCTTTTCCTTAAGCATCTAGGTTTGTTTCAGGTGTTTTTAAACAAACACTGAGCTCTTTTGGTACCAAAAACGCAGGTGCATTGAGCATAGGTTTTAGTTTATTACCTGGAAATCAATAAAAGTGACCTCCCACAGGCTCGACCCATCATCCGTGTCGCTGGGCAGCAAGAGGGCCTGGTCCTGCTGCAGGCTGCCCACGCGTTGGCAGCGGTAGGAGTAACCAGAGGGAGCATATACGCCAGTTGGGTTAAAGACTGCTTGGATTGAATTGTTGGAAATGATCTCGACTCGGCGCAAACTAAACCAACTCTGGATGGACAACTTGTTGTAATTGGTAAGGATGAATCTGAAAATGGTTATAAAAACAGCATTACTCCTAAAGAACTTTTCCCACGTTTACTGACGCAAGGCATCGTCTATGAACAGTACAATGGCGCCCTCTTTTGTCAGGCGGCAGAACGGGCTTGGGGAAAGGCTTCACTTTTGCTGCAGAGCCTTCCCTGGATGGATGGAAAAAGAGCAAATGACAGGGCAGCACCCAAAGTGGACAGTGCAAATTCCTACGAAAGAAAAAACACACAAAGTTTGGGTTTGTTTTGTTTTGTTTTTCCTTTTTTAGAATCAACACTTGATTATGTGTTTATTATTCAAAAAATTTGAGAAAAACTTAAATGGACATCAATGAAGAATTTGCTAAATTGTGGTTTAAAATAATAGTAATAGCTCTCTTAATAACTTCTGTGTTATGTATGTGTATTGTGTTTAATCTTCACTTCAACACCATGTAATAGATAATGTCCTTATTCTAACTTCACAGCTGAGGAATCTAAGACACAAAGGGCTTGAATAAGCTCACTTGGAGAGTAAGTGTCAGAGCTGGGCTTCAAATCCAATCTTAACTCTTTTGGAATGGACTGTTTTCCAGCCATGAAAAAAGTCATAATTTACTTGTCATTATCATTTTATTTCCATTTAAAAAAAAAAGTGACTGCATTAAAAAAAAATGTCTGGAAGGATAGAGATTAAAACATTAGTAGTGATTACAAATGGTGTTTAGATTATTGATGATTTTCATTTTCTTCTTTCTGTAGCTCAATATTTTCTGATTTTTCTGTTTTCATTAGTTTTTCTTGTCTCTATTTGGCTTCTTTGCAAGCAGTCTCTAAGACACAGGTGTGAATATAAGAAATATTCAGGGGAGTTTAGTCATTCAAAATACGTAAAATGGAGAGAAAAGAAATGACAGAGGAAGGGAAGGCAGCTAAAAGAGGTACATTATTAAGCCAGTTTCCAATGTGGACAAGCAGGGCTTCATGGCCGTGATGGAACCTGGGAGCCAGAGCACAGCACATGCTGCTGAGTTATCTCACCTGACGGGGAGGGAGCTGAGGTGTGTGTATGTGTCCTCCAGTCATTGGTTGAAGGCTGCTGGGCCAGGGACTGGGGGCAGTGGGCCAGAGAAAGCTTTTAGGCAAAGAGAGGCGGGGAGTTGAAAGTTCAGCAGGTAGGCTACAGTGCTCTCAAATGGAAAGGACCATGTAGATATTCACGGGGTACTGACAGTTTCTGCTACATACCTTTATCATCAGAATAAATAATAATAACAATAATAATAATAAAGCTATTTTTCATTTTGGAAAAAAGTGGAATTACAGATCAAAAATAGTCTCCATTTCTAGATCAAACAGACATGTGTGTTTGGTCACCTTGTGGGATTCTATTTACTTGTAAAGTTGCTCTGAAAGATGATGACATATATTTTCTAAATTATGATCAGTGAAACTCTAGTCTCCCATGATATGTAGACAAGTGTTCTGAGGAAGAAGGTTCTCCAAAATTAAACACAGGAAACACTGAGTTAGTCAAAGTTACAAAGTGCAATAGTCTTCCTTAAGATTATTTTTTCTCAGAAACTTTAACATACAAATTTACACTGTGAATTGCCAAGAGGAAGACATGGTTTAGAGTCGTTCCCAGACACATTTGACCACAGAATCCCCTTTTCATAAAATCTTATAAATATTTTTACAGAGCAGAAGTGTCCCATAGAGCAAAGCTTAAGAAAGACTGCCCTAGCACAATCCTGCTGGTTTTCCAAATAATGTTAAAGACACAACTACTTATCTCCACTAACAAGTTTGTCTTATAGGAAGGGAAGCACTGTATTTTTATAAGAAAAAAAAAAAGCCTTCAAATTGCTCCCCCTACCTCAGGAGCAGTTCCTAACTGCTTGGCTAAAGTCTCTGTTGACAGATGCATCCTTTCATACCTAAACACCAAAAAACTGTAGGCCTCTGTTGATTGTCTGCTGGGGAATACACGTAACGAGGCTTTTTCACTGTAGTTAAATGGTAAGTGTGATTCATTATAAGAAGCTATAGAAAATAAGTTCAAACCAGAGCCCCAGCCCTTAGAGCTTTTTCTTTTGTCTTCTTTTCTCAGAAGAAAAGGATATTACATTCTCAGGATTGGGAGTTTTCTAAGTCCCTAATGCAGGCGGCATGGGGGTGGGGGAGAGGGAAGAACTATGGGTATTTTGGTAGAAACTTTTAGAAAGAAAGCATTAGTATAGGATCCCATCATATCACAGCACCAACTTTTCCGTTTAATTAGGTTGATGTGGCATGCAATGTGTCACAGTGCTTGGGCATATAGCAAGCCCTTGCTTCGCACATGTGGAATGAATAAATTCTATAGAGCTAATCTGAAGTGCTGAAACTGCGATACTCCAAAGTGGTGTCCTACCTACCTTATAGCAAGACTTCTGGGGTTTCCAGCATCACCAAGCTTCAAAGACAACCTAAGAAAAGGAAACAACGCAGTCTATGAAAATAGGAATGACCCTGACTTCATATGTACTCAAAAGTTACCTCAAGGTGGATCACGTAACACCTAACACACAAAATGTACAGAACTTTTTTTTAATCTTGAGGTAGGCAATGGTTTCCTGAAAAAAGTACAAAGGCATGAACCATAAAAGAAACAACTGATAAATTGCATTTTACTAAAATCCAGAACTTTTACTCTTCAAAAAACACTGTTTAAGAAAACAAGAAAGGCAAGCCACGCAACAGGAGAAAATACTCACAACACGTATACATAAAGAACTCTATCCAGAATACAATAAATAACACTAACAACTCAACAAAAGACAGCCCAATGTAAAAATCATAAAAATTGTCAGAAGACTCGAGCATGTTTTAAAGAAAGATATACAAATGGTCAATAAGTACATGAAAAGATGCTTAGGACCATTAGACATTCGGAAAATGTAAAATAAAACCACAATAAAGATAACACAGTACAGGAATCAGAATGGCTAAAACACTTTTTAAACTGACTCTTAAGCTTTTAATACCTACATTTATTCCTGTTTTCCTAAGAGTAAACATAAGATTTCCCAGAGCAAAGACAGATGAATTGACTTACTCATGGGAACAACCATATTGGTTCCCCCTTCTAATCCAATTCTCCTCCACCCAGGCAGCAGGAGAAGAGCCAGATGTCATCCTACACATATTGAGATTTGTAATACAGATGAGCAACACCAAAATTATGAATCTGGGAGCTTATATAGGAGAGAGACCGTGGTTTCCTTCTCACCTCCCAAGAGAGGGAGAGAAACATTTGCTCCTCTAGTGTCAATAAATTCTCCTTAGGAAGAGAAGAGGGATGATTAGTCTTTGGATGAAAGACTTTAATTAGCCTTTGGATGGAAGCAAATCGCTCACCATAAGGAGACAAATGGCTGCAGGTCTCATACCCATGGTATGTAAATAAATATCTCCGAGGGGAGGATAAGATAAGCCTCTCTGAGTTTCTAACCCCTGGAACGTCTCTATGGCCTTGAGTTTCATTACCCCTTGATACATGAACACAACACATTCCTTTCAAGAGGTAAATCTCTCACTAACTCTAACACTTATCTTTTAACCCAGTTCCCAGTAAAAATTTGTTCAGAAATTCCTAAACATGCAGAAATATAAAAATGCTTTCTCTAGTCTCACTCTGACCATACGAAGTGTTAGTGAGAATGTGAAGCAACTGGAACTCTCATACAATGCTTGAGAAAAGGAAAAATGATGCGGCCACTTTAAAAAACAGTTTGGCTGTTTTCTAAAAAGGTAAACATACACATACCATATGATCCAGGCATTCTACTCCTAGTTGGAATGACAGTTAAGAGAAATGAAGATACCTGCTGCCACAAAGACTTGTACATGAATGTTCATAGTGACTGTACTTGGAAAGTTATGCAAAAAGTGAGGGAAAAAACAAATTTCTATCAACAGGTGAATAGATAAATAAGTTGTGGTACATCTATAATATGGACTACTACTCAGCAATGAAAAGGGAAATACCATTAACAGATGCAGTAACATGGAAGATTATCAAAATCATTAAGCTAAGTGACAGTGGCTACACTAAAAAAGAGTACACACATGTGATTATATAAAATTCTAGAACATGGAAACTAATTGATAATGATAGCAGATCAGTGGTTATCTGGAGATGTGACAGTGGTTGGAAAGACGCATTACAAAGAAACACACAGTAACTTTGGGGCATGATGAAAATATTTGTTGCCTTTTTTTTTTTTTTTTTTTTTTTTTTTTGAGACAGGGTCTTGTTCTGTCACACAGGCTCAGGGGCAGTGGCATAATCTCCACTCACTGCAACTTCCACCTCCCGGGCTCAAGCAATCCTCCCACCTCAGCCTCCTGTGTAGCTGGGACTACAGGCATGCACCACCACACCTGGCTAATTTTTGTATTTTTAGTAAAGACAGGGTTTCATCATGTTGGCCAGGCTGGTCCCTAACTCCTGACCTCTGGTGATCTGCCCATCTTGGCCTCCCAAAGTACTGGGATTACAGGTGTGAGCCACTGTGCTCAGCCATGAGGATCTTTAAGTATCAGGCACTGTGACATCAATTGGGAACACAAAGGAGAAATACAACCTGGAACAAGAGCTGCTCAAAAAGGAGCTCTTTTTACTCTTTCAAGTGTTCTACTCTCACACATGTAAAATGGATTCTGAATTCTTGAGGCTATAATTGCCTAAATTCCAAATACACACAGATGCTGGGATTATGCTGTATTTGCAGGGCTTTCACTATTTAAAAAGACTTCCGTAGCAAATCTGTCTGCCAACAATTTGCCTCTCTCTAAACATTTTGTTTCCAAGAGCTAAAACGTGGTCACCTTTTTTTAATCTGTGCTTTTGACCTTACATGGTTATGTCTTTGTTTCGGTTTGTTATTTCAGCAACTCCCATTCTCCTTCTTAAGATCTTAAGATTTCCTTGCCAGCACCACAAGGGCATCTGGCTCATCCATGCAATTCACAGGAATCAGCCACTAGGTCTCAGCAGCTGGTTCTTGACACCTCCCTTCCTGGAAGCCTCCTGTTGCTCCTCTTTGGGCAGGCTGTCCAGGATGCCTGCACACTCTGTGTGCAGGACTCCAGCAGGTGGACACTGCACACTCAGGGCTCACACCTGAATAGAATTCTAAGCAGTGACCAAAAAGACAGTCAGGTTCTGCCCAATCTTTCATTTGTGTCCTGTGAGACCCGAAGCTTACTGAAGAAATTAGACACTATTTCACTCTAGTTATCATTGGGATGTCAGGAAGGAAAATAATGCTACTACTATTAATACTTTGAACAGCACTTGACAAGATCTCAAAGTGCTTATGCATATATTTCCTCATGTGTTTTTCACAACCTTGTCAGATAGGGCCAAGAGGAAGAAGATAAATGGTCATTTTTAAAGATGTTTTCAACCCCAGCTCTATGAACATACATGCTCCATGACTTTAGCAAGTTTTCTAACCTCTGTGATAACTGCCTGTGACTCTAAGAGTTACTGTGAGGAATAACAGACATGTGCCTATGAAGACCTCACACCGTGCCTGGCCCACAGTAAATGCTCAAGGCCTCATAGCTATAATGAATAGATGCCATCATCTCCATTTGACAGATGATGATCCTACAGGTCCTGCCTGTAAAATCACAAAGCTCACTGGCAGAACTGGGCCTAGAAGCCAAGTTTTCATTCTTTCCGTCTCTAGGTTCCCAGTAACCACAAGATCTCTAAAACCCAGCAAAAAAAAAAGAAAAACCTGTAGGTGCCCGGGCATGGCAGCTCAAGCCTGTAATCCCAGCACTTTGAGAGAACGAGGTGGGCAGATCACCTGAGGTCAGGAGTTCGAGACCAGCCTGGCCAACATGATGAAACCCCATCTCTACTAAAAATACAAAAATCTAGTCAGGCGTGGTGGCACGTGCCTGTAATCCCAGCTACTCAGGAGGCTGAGGGAGGAGAATCGCTTGAACCTGGGAGGCAGAGGTTGCAGTGAGCTGAGATCATGCCATTGCACTCCAGCTTGGGCAACAAGAGTGAAACTCTGTCAAAAATAAAATAAAATGAAATAAAATAAATAAATAAACAAACAAACAACTGTAGGACCCTGATTTTCTCCCACAGATGCCCTAGGGTCAGGATAAATGGAATCAAGGAGAGCCAGTCAGCCATAGACAGGCAAGATTATCCCCAAGCAGGCAGCCTTTCTCCTTGCAACTGACCACAAATAAAGAGCCCTGTGGGGAATTAATTAGCACCCCAGGAAAAGGTTCTGAGCTCTCAGCCTCCCGTAGTCTCTTTGATAGCCTTGGATAGTTGAGCTATAACAGGATAAACAAATCTGAGAGGACTCTAAATGCTTCCACGTACATTTCCCTAAATCCCTATTAAAAGATTGTCATTCTGAACAGCAAGATACTAAGATTTGTAATATGACTTTCAATTGTATATTAATAGAATCCATTTTTACCCATTGTCAAGAATTTTTAAGTGAGAAGTAAAGTTCAGGAATAAAAGGATCTTTCCAGCTAAAGTACATAAAGTAGAAAAAGAATACACACAAACACACACACACACACACACACACACACACACACACACTGTTATGCTTTATATAAAGCATCCTACCCATCTAAGCCAAACCAGAACAAATGCAGAGAATCTTCCAAAAGGATCTATTTTACCAACAAATGTTGAAAGAAGGTTTATAGAAAGCAAGCAGGACATGCCAGATTTCCTCTCCCTGGACCAAAATAAATAAAAGCAAAAATTTTTGCTTGGATGACTGAAAAGCAGAGAAAGGCATTGGAAATTGATTTGCCCTTCAAACATGTTATTTGTTTAATCTGCTTATCTCAAATCAAAACTAATTATTCCAATCATTTTGAAATGTCCTTAAGAATTATCTGGAATTTAGCCATTAAAAAGTACCCTTGCGCATTTGCAAACAGGCAATATTCCACTATTTCTGCACACTGACACCCCCCGGCCCCCTACCTCCGCAGAGTCAAGCATTTGTCCTGGCTAGTGTGTCACCCACTAGAATGTGTATGACCCTGCTGGGATATGTGATCTCTTCCCTGATAGAATAAAAGTAGTTTGACACCTACCATTTGGAGTTGAGACCAAGCCTGGAATCCTTTGCTGTTTTCAAAACGAGTTTGAGAACCCTTGCTTTCCAAAGTCTCATTTTCTACAAGTTATTCCGACAATTAGCAAAAAGGTTCAGAAGAAAACTGCCGGGAAAATATAACAATTTTTTTTTTTTGAGATGGAGTCTCACTCACTCTGTCACCCAAGCTGGAGAGCAATGGCGCGATCTCAGCTCACCACAACCTCCACCTCCCAGGTTCAAGCAATTCTCCTGTCTCAGCCTCCTGAGTAGCTGGGATTACAGGCACCTGCCACCACGCCCGGCTAATTTTTGTATTTTAGTAGAGACGAGGTTTCACCATGTTGGCCAGGCTTGTCTCCAACTCCTGACCTCAGGTGATCCACTCCCTTGGCCTCCCGAAGTGCTGGGATTACAGGCGTGAGCCACCATGCCCAGCCAACAATTTTTGAAGTTAACTTCTGACTTGTTCCTTTATTTTAGACAGTAAATACTTCCTCAAAGATGTGTGTCAGGGTCCTATACAAAGGAGCCTACTTTTTTTTTCTGAAATGACAAAAAAAGTTGAATGCAGAGTTAACAGAACGCAATAGCCCTAGGGGCTTCCTCAAACTGAGAGATCAACTTACCTAGCACTTTCTTCACTGCAATTTGAGTTGTCAGGGTCCACAGTTACCTTCTGACCAAATGGCTCGTCTGTAAGGTCCAGCCAGGTTTGATTCTTAAATTTAATCATTATTCTTTTGGCCCAGAAGAGAATGCAAGGAATTCCATTGATGGAGACATTAACTGGGCCATGATGGCTGAATGCATTCCAAGGTTCTTTTTCTAAATGCCCTTCTTTGCTCAGATTGTAGTTGAGAGCCTAATTAACCAAATAAAAAGAACATAAGAGATGAATTTGTGTCTATGTTACAAAAGGCTTCCTAGAAATGAAAGAGCTAATTCACATCCTGTAACGATAAATACATGCCATTACACATTTATTAAAACCCACAAAATGTACAATACAAAGAAAGAAATTTGCACCAATTACTCTAGTGTAAATACAGATAAAAGAAAAATTAGTTAATAGAGAGCAGCAACTTAAGCTTATCAGTAACTAAAGATTATTATTATTATAGCAACAAAAGTGAAGCTGAATATTGTAATGAAAATATAAGAGAGCAAGTAAAATTAAGTATTTTAGGTTTTTCCCAACTATAAGATTCCATAATAAACAGAAAACCAAATACCACATGTTCTCACTTATAAGTGGGAGCTAAGCACTGAGTACACATGGACATAAATATGCAAACCATCAAAACTGTGGATGACTGGAGGATGGAGGGAGTGGAGTGGGTTAAAAAACCACCTATGGGATACTATACTCACTATCAGGGTGATGGGATTCATACCGCAAACTCCAGCATTATGCACTATTCTCACGTAACAAATCTGCACATGGACCCTCTGTATCCAAAATAAAAGTTGACTTTTAAAAAGAAGAGATTCCACAATATGTTTCCCCACCCAAATTTGAAGCAAAAATATGTTACTTATTAATACAATTATTATTTATATTTTCACAGAGCACAGACATGATTGAAATGTGTTTTTAAGTTTTTTAGAGCTAGATTACAATCTGGTTTCCTGACATAGCCATACCTGTGTGATTGGTATTGTTGTGAAATTCTGGAATGGTTTCATATCTCCATTATTCTGATCTGTCAAATAAATGATGATGTGGTTACCAAATGCTAAATGTCATTTATTAATGTAATTGGGAGCAATGCTAAGCACTGTCACATATATCAAGCTTGAGCCCCTTTTGGCTCATAATTTATGATGCACTAGTATAAAAGATTTCACATGAGTGACTCCTGGTACAGACACCACTGGTCAGGGAATTCTATCACAGAAAAAGCCCTTCTCCACCCCACAAGGAATCATGTGGGCAACTGGAGTCTTACCATTCCTCATAACCACTTCTTTATTTGAAGATGTTGGAGAACTGAAATTAGAAAAAAAAAAAAATTAAAAGATGCTGAATAAATATCCATAATTTAGATGTTACACGAAATTTTAAGAAGTATATTTCACTTTATTACATCTCAGAATAGAGGAGCAGAAACAGCCTGCCAAAACTGTTCATTTCTTAACAGTGAATTTCCCATTTAAACAGTAATATGTCTCTCCCCTGCTGTCTCTGCATTTAACAGAGAGAGAAAGTAACATATGTTCCTCAAAAAAGAAAATGAAAAATAAAGAAAAATTTTAGAAAGAAAAATTATTTTATTTATTTTTATTTTATTTTATTTTATTTGAGATGGAGTCTCACTCTGTCACCCAAGCTGGAGTCCAGTGGTGTGATCTCGGCTCCCTGCCACCTCTGCCTCCTGGGTTCAAGTGATTCTCCCGCCTCAACCTCCTGAGTAGCCGGGATTACAGGCATGCACCACCACACCCTATTAATTCTTGTATTTTTTGTAGAGATGGGGTTTCACCATGTTGGCCAGGCTGCTCTTGAACTCCTGACCTCAGGTGATCCACCCACCTCAGCCTCCCCAAGTGCTGCAATTACAGGTGTGAGCCATCATGCCCAGCCAGAAAAATTATTTTAAATCAAACCTGATTCTTATTCATTGAATGATATTATGGGGGGGCCTACTATGTGCCAAGCAATGTGCTACACGCTAAGGTTTAACCAATAACAAATATAAAATAACAAAGTAATAAAGCATATAAAACATTTTACAGTGAAATTTTATACTACATTGCATTGTTAACCTATCAAAGCCAAAACATCCAGCCTTTCAAAAAAAAGACTGACTCAATTACCAAAAAGTTATATTGGAAACTTATGAGCATATAAATTATTATATATATCCTTGAGTTTGTGTGTGTATATATCCTCTCTATATGCATACAAACACAAACACACACACACAGCACATATGTATATAATTTACTTTTTACAGTTTAAAAATGGATTTTTGTGGGCATACTGTTTTAGAGTTTGCAATTTTTTATTAAAACTATATCACAAATATTTTCCATGTAATTATATACTTTTGACACATTTTAATGTATGTGGTATTATATCATTAAAATGTATCATAATATATTTAACCAAATTTCTACTCTTAAGTATTTGTTTTCAATTTTATTAGCATTATAACAATACTGCATTGAACATTACTGTGGATTGTTTGTTCACACCCATGAGAAGTTCCTTAAGATAAATTCCTTGAGGTGAAATTTCTAAGTTAGAAGATATACACATTTTTTATTACAGGATATTTCAAACATACACAAATATAAACAGAAAAATATAATAAGCCCCCATGTACCTGGACCCATCATTCAGCTTTAGTAATTATCAGGTTATAACCAATCTTGTTTCACCTACAAGCACACCCTCTTCCCCCGTGTGATATTAGTTTGAATAAAATATCAAAAATTATATCATTTCAGTATATATCTCTAAAAGATAATAACTTTTAAAAATAACAGCACAATTACATCTAGAAAATACTGATAATTATTTAACATAAAATTAGTGTTTAAATCTCCAGTTTTGTCATACATGTCCTAAGGATTTAACAGTTTGTTTATTGCATATTTTAGGTTTTCCATAAGTTTTACCTACAGTATATGAGAATGCAAAGCAAACTCTATACTTAACAATTCCTGTGATATAAGGTCTCTATATGTCACTATCATATAAACTCAACATTTTTATAATTAGAGAAAGATATATATTACATGATATGTATACAAAACATAATTGTAGCTGAAGAGTTACTAAATCTGTATCATAGTAAAGTGCTTTAGAATTAATTATATGGAACCAATTACAAATTAAATGCACCATTCTCTCTGTAATATGATCCCTGTTATCTAATAAGAATTTCTGAAGATGACAAATTGGTGACCATGATGTCTACTAGTTGCTATTAATAAATTTATGCATGCATGCAATTCATTTTCATCAACTTTATTGAGGTATATAATTTATGTACAGTAAATTGCATTCATGCAAATTATACAATTATATGAGTTTTGGCACAGGCACATACCCATGACACCACTGCCATAATAACAATACAGAATACTTACAACACCCAAAAGAGTTTCCGCTTGCATTTCTGCAGCTGAGTTGTTCCCTCCACCCTCAACCCCAGGCAACTACAGACCTGCTTCTGTCACTTTAGATTAGTTAGCATTTTCTTTTTTCTTTTTTCTTTTTTGAGATGGAGTTTTGCTCTTGCTGCCCAGGCTGGAGTGCAATGGCGTGATCTCGGCTCACCACAACCTCCACCTCCTGGGTTCAAGCGATTCTCCTGCCTCAGCCTCCCAAGTAGCTGGGATTAAAGGCATGCACCACCACGCCCGGCTAATTTTGTGTTTTTTAGTAGAGACAGGGTTTCTCCATGTTGATCAGGCTGGTCTCAAACTCTCGACCTCAGGTGATCCGCCCGCTTCGGCCTCCCAAAATGCTGGGATTACAGGTGTGAGCCACCACACCCAGCCTAGTTAGCATTTTCTACAATTGCGTATAAATGGAATCATACATATTCCTTAGCATTTGGCTTCTTTCTGTCTCATCGTAATGACTTTAAAATTCATGCCTGTTGTTGCATATGTCAGTAGTTCATTCTGCTTTAGTGTTAAGAAATATTTCATTGTATGGATATGCCATACTTTATCTGTCTGTGCACACAGTCATGAATATTTGGGGTGATTCTGGTTTGGAGCTACTATAAATAAAGATTTAAGAACATTAATGTATAGGAGTTTGTGTGAATATGTTTTTGTTTCTCTTGAATAAATAAACAGGAATAGAATGACCAAGTCACATAATAGAAGTAACTTTTTTAGAAAAGCTGTCAATCAATTTTGCTTCCCTGTTGTTCAACATTCTTGCTGACATTTGGTATCATCAATCTATTTAATTTTAACCATTCCAATGGGTGTGGGTTGCTAGCTAAGTTTAATTTTATTTTATTTTATTTTTTTATTATTATTATAAAGTTTTAGGGTACATGTGCACAATGTGCAAATTACATATGCATACATGTGCCATGCTGGTGTGCTGCACCCATTAACTTGTCATTTAGCATTAGGTATATCTCCTAATGCTATCCCTCCCCCCTCCCCCCACCCCACAACAGTCCCCAGAGTGTGATGTTCCCCTTCCTGTGTCCATGTGTTCTCACTGTTCAATTCCCACCTATGAGTGAGAATATGCGGTGTTTGGTTTTTTGTTCTTGTGATAGTTTACTGAGAATGATGATTTCCAATTTCATCCATGTCCCTACAAAGGACATGAACTCATCATTTTTTATGGCTGCATAGTATTCCATGGTGTATACGTGCCACATTTTCTCTAAGTTTAATTTTAATATCCATTTCTCTGATGATTAATGATGCTAAGCATCTTTTCTTATGCCTATAGAGCATTCATATAGTTTCTTTTGTGAAGTGTGCTTAAATCTTTAGCTCATTTTAAAAATTAAATTCATTGACCTCCATAAGTGCTCTTTATATGTTCTGGATGCAAGTCCTGTGTCAGAGATACACACCGGAAATATTTTATTGCATTCTGTCTTCCTTTTTCATTTTCTTAATGGTGTTTTTTCAAAGATCAATAGTTCTAATTTTCATAAAGTCCAATGTATTCTTTTTCTCTGTTATGGCCTATGTTTTTGTGTCTAAAAGAAATATTTGCTCAACAAGGTCACCAAGATTTTCTCTTGTGTTTCTCCTAGTTTTTAAATTTTAACTTTTACACTTAGGTCTGTGATCCATTTTGAGTTCATTTTTGTGAGCTAAGGTACTTGTATCATTTTGGAGCTAAGGATAAAGAAAATGTCCTATTAAGCTTGCAGAAGTAAAAAACAAGAATCATGCAAGGATTCAGCCAATGCACCTCTCTCACCCCTTCACAGAAGCTAATGGAGGACATGCTCCCACAACGTAAGGGCAAAAGCCAACAAAGAGAAAGCACAGGCTCTCATAAACAGCAGATCTCACTAGAAGAGTGGTGAAGCAAAACCTAAGACTACCCATTGTACATCAGACATAGAATCAATCCAGATTGGAGCAAGAGGACAATAAAAGGAAGACCTACAGAGAGATCTCTAAGTGAAAGGGGAATTTGAGAGACCACTATATATTAGAGGAAAGAATATGTGAAAAGAATTAAGACTATGCATGTTTTGAAATTGCAACTACAAAAAGGCCATTTTTAACTCAAGGGAAAAAGAAACGTTGCACAAAAAAAAAAAAAAAAAAAAAAAGAAAGAAAGAAACAAAATTACACTCTACTAACTAGCTTGTCTGTGAACAATATACATAGTCATATTGACGCAAGCACTGATGAACTGAAAGTAGTAATGTAACTATATTGGAGGGATGGGGGGTGGAGGAAAGAAAGATGAGGACATTGAAGACAGGAACTTTGTCAATAATAAAGGAACTTGTTATAAAATCTAACATGTATAAATGGAGAAATCACCTATGCATATTATTTTGATATTATGGCAGTATGGTGAATTGTATGATTGTTACCCAGTCTTTGTTTCCTTCTCTGGGAGAGGATTTTGCATCCCCCTAGGGCATATGACTTGCAGTTCCTCCCTGTGGGTGGAAAATACTTCCTGCCCCATCATCAGGCTTAGCTATTATATGAACAGCAGACGAGGAAATACTGGATAGAAGGGGGCAGTTCCTGGCAAAGGCCCCACCCTTAAGCCTGGAAACCCACGGCCCTAAATGGGAACAGGCATTCCTGTTTCTGCACCCCAATGTTGCCTTTTGGCCCACCAGGGCCCCCTATCCAGTACCCATATAAACCCCAAACCCCAGGCTCCACAAGCAGATGAGCAGATGAACAGGTGAACAGAAGAGCAGCAGAACAGCATGACAGAGAAGAGAGACGAGAAGCAGCATCTGAACATCTAGAGGAGTTTGGCTGGGGACAGTCAGAGAGGAGATCAGCTGCTGAACAGCCAAACTCCAGGGGAAGATCATCCCCCAATCCATCACCCTTCCAGCTCCCCATCCAGCCTGCTGAAAGCCACCTCCACCACTCAGTATAACCCCCACATTCACCATCCTTCCAGCCCTGTGTGACCTGATTCTTCCTGGATGCCAAACAAAAACCCGGGGTCCAAGAGGGCACTAAGCTGGTTAACACTTAAGCTGTCTGAAGATGGCAGAGCTAAAAGAGCACTGTAGCACACCCACTGGGGCTTTGAGAGTCACAGGAACCCAAGCCTAGATGCTACCATGAGGCCAGAACCCAAAATCACTTGCCCTGGTTCCTGCACCTGCCCATCTGCATGCTCCCCTTCTTGTAAAAGGTTTGAGCACATGTGGCAGTGGCCAAACAGATGCACCACACCCCTGTTGCATGTCCTGCAAGGGGGGTCACGGAACTCTCCAGTTTCAGCTATACATCTTAATTAGACCAATGGAATATGGGCAGAAGCAACAGTGTGGCAGTTCTGCAGAAGTTGCGAGTGTCTGCATGTGCCTGCCATCTCTTGCCCCACTCCCTCTGTCATAAGAATGGCATGCCCAAATAGGGGCTGCTCTTTCAGTCTGGGACTTGGAATGAGAAGTGGAAACAGAGCTAAAGCAGGGTCACAGCAGCCCGCCTGTAGCTGTCAGAAGTAAGAGGAGCAAGAAAGAAATGTTTGAGGCTGCAAACTTCTGCAATGTAGGGGTTGTTTTGTTTCTAGAAAAAAGGTGACTAATACAAGCAGTGGCCAACAGAAGAAACAACTAAAAATTTGAAAATGTTTGCCTATAGAAGTAACTAGAAGACAATTTTTCCTTTAATGTGTCTTGTCACCTTTTGATTTTTTGAAACCATGTACATGTATTACTTTGATAAATTTTTCTATTTTAATTTTTTAAAAAGATGTCTTCCTTTAGAAATTTATAAATTAGCATTACGGTTTATATTAAGTCTCTTGTGAGTACAAGTTTAATTTCCTGAGCAACAAAAGTGAGGTTCCCATCCAAGTAATAATGAAATTATAATAGAGATATGCTTTAGCCAAATCATCTAACCTACCTAAACTCCAGACTTTGTAGTACAGGTTAAAACGTAACTGAATACAATATATGAAAGAGGCACGAATACCCAGACATTACCCAGGCAGACTTCGGCCTGCCAGCTGTGCTTGCCTTATTTCACCTCTTCCCTTCTCTCTCTGCTTCCGCTACTCTAGCATTATTCAGTTCCTTGAACACTTCATGGTCCATTTTTCCCTTAGCACCTGCTGGTCCCTCCACCTGGAATGTTCTCCATCCTCCTAGTTATTTTCTACATCTCCTCCAGATGATGGCGTAAGTGTCACTTCCTCAGGAACACAATCCCTAACTTGTGCAAGTTCCAATCCCCCTGTTGTATGTGCTCATTGCTTCCTATACTTTTCTTTCACAACACATTTCAAAGTTTATTTGGAATAATATATATCATTTGATTAACAAGGGCTTCCCTATTAGACTTAGTCCGTGAGGCCAGGGACTATCCCTGTTGTGCTCACCATTGTAGACCCAGCATCTAGCATGGGGCCTTGCTACTTAAAAGCACCAATTATTTTTAAAATGTGTTGCATGCACAAATGAACTAAGAAATTGATGAAAATACTCTGAAATCAAAGTGGAAAATGGGAGGTCACACAGGATTTCTTTTTGGATCAAGAATAAACCCAACTTGAGGAAGAAATGTGCAAAGTGAGAATAATGACCCCTACTCACTCTATGTTTAGAAACCGTGTATCGAGCTTAAACTACAATCCTCCTTCCTACAGACAGAATATTGAATAGCCCCAGGGAGTTGAAAGATATTTTAAATTTCAGATCCATTATTTGAAAGAACACACAAAACAACAACTGTTGTTTCCTTCATAATGAATTAATGAGCCATAATATTAGATTCAAATGATCATTGACTTATGTGATTTCTAAGATCTAAAGCTTCTGAAGCTAAAATTAAGCCCATTAACTTTGTCTTAAAAACAGAACTAGGATTTTTCTAATTCTTGGTGTACATTTTACTAGTGTAATACACAAATCAGGCATTTCTGTGTAACCCAGGTGGGGAAACAGAACTAGGCTTTAACCACTAAAGAATAGAAGTCACTATTCAAAAGTGAACCTGCAGGAAAGCACCAATTGACTCAGAAACAATGGAAGAAAAAAATTGTTAATGTCTATATGTATAGATTTTATCAGTTGTGGACTAAGGAGTCTTTAACCCGAGTTTTGCCATATTCTCCTGCTTGCTGCTGTCTGCTATGTTCACACTAAATTCCCTGAAGCATTTGTTGAGATGGCACACAATGAGTCAGTGGGGGACATGACATACCTTAATTGCTATTCAGATTTTGAATATTCTTTTTTATAGAAAAACCTCTAAGTGTTCCTTATATGACGTATAAAGAAGCCAAAGGGACAACAGAAATAGAAACAGGAATTTAATTGCCATCTCTTAACAGTTAAAACAATTTAACACCTTTTCTTTGAAGGACAGGATATATATTTCTGAGGTTTTCAATTTTTTTCTTACTCTTTTCTCACATAATAATGGCAGGGGATACTGTGGAATTAACATTCACTTGTAAGTATAAAAGAAATCTGAAAACTGATTTGAGGAGTCATTTTCTCACAGATAAATACTTTGATACATACTACAAAAGTTTCTTGGATATTTTGAACAAGTAACCCTTGCCTCTTATAAAAAAGCTTATATTTTTACCTCAAGCATAAACTCTGGTCAATAATTTTTGTAGCTACCTGTATGATCTAGCCTATTCATTTTGAATCACAAGTAAATGTCGATATGAAACAACATAAAGAAATCACAGAGCCACCTAATTTCATACTTGCATTTAAGTTCACAAACACATTGCTTTAAAAGATGTGCAGTTACTCACCTTACATTCTTCCTGGCAAATATATGGTCCAAGGTTAGTGAAAGTCCTATACCTAAAAAAATCAGTGAAAAACTAAACAAGATTTTTTTTTCCCATCAAGAAAAGAATCAGTTTCTTCAAAGCAAGCAAATCTGTTAATTCATAAATGCAAACAGAGCAGAGGCAGTACTTTTCATGCCATGTGACTGACAGCATATTTAACCAATAACAGGGCAGCTTTCTCAGAATGTATTCCATGGTGAGGGGAGGAAGGGAGGGGTCTGATAATGCTGAGAGTATAGAGTGAAACAAATATTTAGGTTTTTAATTATTCATCTCATGGAAAGATTATTAAGGAGCCAATTTTTAAAGAAAATATATTTGCCACTTAAGCTCATTTTAGAAATTTGCATTGTTTTGATACTGTCATGTAACTCTTAAGACTCTTTATTTTATATACTTCATACTACATATATGTCATACTATTATATATTTCATACTACACTTCAGGAAGCTATTAATTTCTCCCCAAAATCTATGAAGTATATATTTTTACATATATTTTTCAAGTGAATAAATAAAAATCTCGGGAACTTCCCTAAAGTTACATATATGTCCTAGTTCACAGTTTCCTGTTGAATTCATAAGGCTCCATTTGCCAAGAGGTGTGGATAGCAATGGTGAGGAGCACTGGCTTTGGAGTCAGAAGCTGAAGTGCCTGGCCAGCTGCTTACCAGTGAGCAAGCTGACACCAGGCAGGTTATTTTCCCTCTAGAGCCTTGTTTCCTCATCTGCAGAGTGGGGACAGGCACACTTAATTGTTGTGAAGATTAAATGGGATCATGGATGAAAGGCTTTTTTTTTTTTTTTTTTTTTTTTTTTTTTTTAAGCCAGTCTCGCTCTGTCAGGCTGGAGTGCAGTGGCGCGATCTCGGCTCACTGCAATCTCAACCTCCTGAGTTCAAGTGATTCTCTTGCCTCAACCTCCCGAGTAGCTGGGATTACAGGCATGCACCACCACGCCCAGTTAATTTTTGTATTTTTAGTAGAGATGGGGTTTCGCCATGTTGGCCAGGCTGGTCACGTACTACTGACCTCAGGTGGTCTGCCCGCCTCGGCCCCGCAGAATGCTGGGATTACAGGCGTGAGCCACGACCGCGCCAGGCCATGAAAGCCTCTTCTTAACTCAGTGCTTAGCTAAATAGAGTGCCTATTGTTATTCCTTCCCTGCTGGCCTCTCCTTTCACCTCACTCCCCTAAAAAGCCTGAAAAACAAAACAAACGACAAAATTCCTAAGAGTTGTTTTACATTTTTTAAAAATACAATTAAAATGCCACAATAAAGAAAATCCTCCAAAACGAAAGTGTCAAGTGCCACCATTTGGGGGCACTTAGGAACCTTGATGGCTTAAAGACAAAGTACTGGTAGCGGAAAAGGGCTATTTGTAAGTAAAATTTCAGAGATGATAGACTATAGGAAAGCTGGGGTCTTGGCGCTGAGCAGACATTCCTATTCCTCTCACACACCACTTTCTTCCAACATAGTTCAGGGGACCCCAACGGAAAATAAGAAGAGGAGAATAAAGCAGAATGACTAGAGGAAGTGGGAGAATGCAGGAATAAGGAAGAAAGTTGCTAACAAAAATTGTAAAATAAAAAGGGTCGCTGGCCTTAAATGTGGCCTTTCCGTGCCCCATCTAATTCCTACTGCCTCCTCATACTCCCTTTTCTTCTCCGTTTTCATTTCCCCCAGCTTCTACTCTTCACCTCTCCTTTTCTCTTTCTGTTCTTTTCCTGATTCTGTGGAATTTCAAGTAACAAGCAGGTCTGGATAAGAGAAGTTTAGTTTTAGGTAATGTTGACAGATAACCTATAGGATAACCTGTTAAAGTGGAATGTCAGAAACATAACAAATGATTTTAATATAAGTATGTTCCATGCAATATTTGGGACATACTATATTTAAAATGTATTAATTGTTTATTTGAAAATTAAGTTTAACTGGGCATCTTATATTTTTAGTTTGCTAAACCAGCCAGTCCTAGTCTTAGGGAAGCTCAGCTACTCAAAGTGTAAAGTGCATACAAATCACATGAGATTCCGTTAAAATGCAAATTTTGACCCAGTAGGTCTGGAGTGGGGTGTAGGATACCACATTCCTAACCAGCTCCCAGATGATGATGATGGTGATGCTGCTTGCCTGAGAACCGCCCTTTGAGTAGCAAGGATCTAGAACAGCATTGTTCAATAGAAATAGAATGAGAGCTACATATGGAATTTAAAATTTTCTAGTCACATTAAAAAGAAGTAAAAATAAACAGGTGAAACTAATTTTAACAGTATTTTTATTTAACCTGTCTAAAATACTATCATTTCAAACATACTCAATTTTAAGGATTATTAGTGAAACATTTTATGTTCTTTTTCTGCCCTAAATCTGAACTCTAGCGTATAATTTTAAAAATTTATTTATTTCTATATTTTGTAGAGATGGGGGTCTTGTTATGTTACCTAGGCCGGTCTCAAACTCCTGGGCTCCAGCAGCCCTCCTGCCTCAGCCTCCAAAAGTGCTGGAATTACAGGCATGAGCCACCATGCTACTTATATCTCAATTCAAACAAGCCAAATTTGAAGCGTTCAGTGGACACTTGTGGCTAGTGCCCCCTGTATTGGACAGGCAAGATACAGAACATCTCCTGCAGCTGCCAGAGCAGTACTTGGTATTCTCTTATGGGAGCAGTGGCAGTGCCTACTCCTCAAGGCCCTGGTCAGGAGAAAGTGAGAGCCCAAGCCAATGATGATCCTGCATTGTGACAATAATGGTTCTGTGAACCCTGAGAAAGGACAGTGTTAGTCCCTTACTAGTTATTACATAATAATCTTTCGGCTGGGCACAGTGGCTCACGCCTGTAATCCCAGCATTTAGGAGGCCGAGGCGGGCAGATCACGAGGACAGGAGCTCGAGACCAGTCTGGCCAACATGGTGAAACCCCGTCTCTACTAAAAATACAAAAAAGTAGCCAGGCATGGTGGCAGGTGCCTGTAATCCCAGCTACTTGGGAGGCTGGGGCAGGAGAATCGCTTGAACCCAGGAGGCGGAGGTTGCAGTGAGCCAAGACCATGCCACTGCACTCCAGCCTGGACAACAGAGCAAGACTCCATCTCAAAAAAAAAAAAAAAAAAAAAAAAAGAATCTTTCATGGAAATATGCTTGGGTTACATTTTCAGACACACACACAATATTTTCAATTTAAATAAAGTATCATTTTAATAGATTTTATGTCCTGATCCTAAAATTGTAACATAGTATTCTTTCTGTTGTTGAAACATTCTCCCACTTGGTTAAGAATATTCAAGGCATAATAATTAGTAGCCAGTAGGTTTCACACATGTAGGTTTCACACAGTGACAAGAAATGCTCACTGGACATCTTAGAGGCTGCAAAGCTCTAGGGTGTCACCTGCCTGGCATTGTACCTTCCTGCTCGGACTGCTGAGGAGCCTCTGTGAAGAACTGTGAAGGGTCTGAGATTTTATTCACTTAGAAGCTAACTAGTTACCCTGACAGTTTTATGGAGGCTGACAGAAGACACAGACTCCTGGGTCAGAGAAAAGGACTTTATTACTCACCGCACAGCAAGTGACACAAGCATCAGTATATTTGGTCAGCTCCCCTTCCCCTCGGAATAATGTAGGTAGGCCCAGATGGATACTTGCACACACAGTGGGCTTCATCTCAGGAGAGAAACCCTGAGCTTACGGAGCCCCAATTTTTTTATAGTGAGTAGTAAACCTATCTGCCCTTTGCTCTGAGGGGAAATACTACCTCTACTTTCCAATGCTATAAGCAAGCCTGTCCTTTGCTACAAAGGGGACATGATTTCTACCGTTCAAGGCTTCTCCCTATACAAACATCCTAGAAAAGGTATTCAGAACAAAGAGCAGTTAGGGACTAGCTCACAATACAGGCAGAAAATGCAGAGGCACATGGAAAATTTCCCCTCTACTGTCTCCACAGGAGAACAGGAAGTTGTACAGCCATGCTGCCTTCTTTACAACTGGACACAACTTGGGTTTGCTTCATTTTTTTATTTACTATATATAACTAAATGATATGTTACCTGAATATTTGAATATCAAAAATCTATCTTCCCATAATCACATATGACCATATAGAATTGTGTTCCCACAGGAACAAAAATGGATCTAACTTAAGAATTCTAATATTTACCTTAAGAAGACTAACAGGTGCACAGTCTCTATTCATTCAACGCTCTCAGACCAAAACTTGCATAAATGTTTCAATCAATTATAATGGTCTTTGCATAGTGATTCAAAATCCAAATCCACGTAACTCCTACAAAGCCCAGCATGGCGTGGCCCCTGCTGGTCTCTCTTGCCTCATTTAACACCAGCTCCTCATCCTGAACATGTTCCAGGCACACTGGCTCGCACTCAGCTTCTCAGCACCCTCAACATGCCAAGCTCCATTGCACCCAAGTGACCTTGCACATACTATTCTCTCTGTGAAGTCACCTCACACCTCTCTAGCTCTCCGTGTATTCTATTCACTTTCATCATAACACATATCACAATTTGCACTGAGAGATTTATTTTCTCATGTACTTATTGATGCTGTTTCTTCATCACAAGGCACGCTCCATGAGGGTAGATACTATGTCTATTTGACTGATACATACCTGGAGCCCAGGTTGGTGCTCAGTAAAATATACGGAATGAATGAATGATCCTATCAAAAAATGCCACATAATTAATTCCCACTTTGTGCCACATGGTTATGACTCCCAAGGCCTGAGTCTTTAGGCAATTATAATGGGAAAATCAATTAATTCAAGTATTCCATAGAATTCTGCCACTTGAAAATGGGAACACACAAAATCCAGGTTACATCAGTTCATAGCACCCTCCATTCCCCAAGGAGCAGGAGGTACTGTATAACCCTTTATCAATTTCAGAGCAAAATTGCTGCCATGATTTCTGCCAATTTTCATCAAATTAACTTCTGCATTAATTAGAATCAGGATGCTACATTAAATAGTTGTAAGTGCTTTTAATTTAAATGTTCATGTTTCTCACTTTAGGTTTCCCTTTGACTTCTTGGAACACAGATGATATGCCAGATTAATAGCACTTAATTGTGTTCTGGGCTGCTCAAGCTAAACTAAGACAGGAGGCCTGCTCTTGAAACAAATTTGTGCATTCAAGAAATACTGACTGTCACCGTGCTACATTCTTTACCAGGAATACAAAGTGAAAAATACAGTCCTTGCCCCCAAAATCCTCCCAGCCCAGTAACATGCAGAAATGTAAACACCTTTGGGATATTCACCCAGCAAACCAGTGACCTTTCTTGAGGTCAGCCCCACCTCTTCCCCAGGCAATGGCTGATTAAATGAAGGAGACAAAGTGGTAGGTACATAATAGACAAGACACTCTCATATGGGTTTCTTTACCTAAAGTACAAAAGAGCCTTTATTAGAAGGATTTGCTAAATGACACTTTTAGTGTGGTAATCAAGGCAAGACTAGGAAGAGACGCTTGAGCCTCACAGACCTGGGTCCCAGGAAAGGAAAAGGCCTCCACTAGCCTCAAAACATGCTCTCACCAGGCACCTGTGGTGTCCACCTTGACAGAGACACTGAGATGAAACTCAGGTTGAGAATATGTGCCATGTGATGTTGCCTTATCCTTGAAGTCACATTTATAACAAGGGCAAAATGAATTATTTGGATATAAATTAGCCAGCACACTTAGTTTCCCTTTTTTTTTTTTTTTTTTTTTTTTTTGAGACGGAGTCTCACTCTGTTGCCCAGACCGGAGTGCAATGGCATGATCTCAGCTCACTGCAGTCTCCACCTCCCTGGTTCAAGCGATTCTCATGCCTCAGCCTCCTGAGTAGCTTGGGACTCTACATGCGTGAGCCACTGCACCTGGATCATTTTTGTAATTTTATTAGAGATGGGGTTTCACCATGTTGGCCAGGCTGGTCTCAAACTCCTGACCTCAGGTGATCTACCTGCCTCGGCCTCCCAAAGTGCTGGGATTACAGGTATGAGCCACCACGCCCAGCCATGCACACTTAGTTTCAAAGGGAGTATTATATACAACTACTTGGTAACAACTCCAAGATATTATTTTCTAAATAATTAAATATGTTTGTGAATTCTAACTTAAAACCCATCTAAGTAATTTTAAAATTCACACATACATGAGCACACTATTCCATAGTATGCGAAATGGCTGTATCTATGAACTGGCTACAGAGTCATTCATTTTGGCTATCCTCATAATTAGTAATGATTGCTAGAACCAACGAGATCAAAAAGCAATTTTTAAATCCATAGAAAAATTGCTTCTGTTCTTTTGTACAGCAATACAAACCCAGAACCCCCTCTCTTCTTCTTTTCTTTTTTCTTCCTCTATTTCCTTCCTTTTCTCTCTTGTTCTTTTTTTTTAAAGGAAAAAACTGTTTTACAGTAAAGCCCTTTAAGCGACAAAGTCTTAATAATATAAAGTGTCTGACATTTTGCATGCTTATTTTGGTAGGAATTTTTATATTTATATATTATACTCATTTACATATTATATTTGAATAATCTTGAAATAATCCTGATGATTTTTCATTTTACTGTGGAATGCAAGGGCTGCAAGAGTCACTTCTACCATGCTCCATCACCAAAGATCAACTGTTTCCCCACTGAACTCATAGACAACCCAGATCTGGTCCATCTACCCAGTTCTGAAATCTCTCCAGGGAAGGAGATTCTAACACATTTCTCACATTGCAGTGAGAAAAATTATCTTTCTTTTCCTAGTAAGAAAAATTATCTTTCTTTGCTTAGAACTCAAAGGTCTCTACTGAAATAGAAGCTTATTTCCCTTTGCTTGGTTCTCAGCCAAGCTCAAGAACACCTGGAGAATAACTTTTAATATGCATCTTAAAATTATACCTCCCTTCCAGGAATTTTACAAAGAGCATCAAAGAACAGCTTTGTCAACTCCCCCTAGATCCTGCACAGAGGTTTAATTATAATAACCAGATTTTAAAGATCAGCTCTGAATATTAGTAAGATCATATGGCAACACAGACTTATTTCTTTAGTTCTACCTTGGAATAGATGTGAGAAGAAATAATCACTGCACCAAGCAGTAGCTAGAATGAGAGGATAAGAAATCTCATTCAGGCCAGGCGCAGTGGCTCACGCCTGTAATCCCACCACTTTGGGAGGCCGAGGTGGGTGGATCACGAGGTCAGGAGTTCGAGACCAGCCTGGCCAACATAGTGAAACCCCATCTCTACTAAAAATACAAAAAATTAGCCGGGCATGGTGGTGGTGCCTGTAATCCCAGCTACTCGGGAGGCTGAGGCAGGAGAATGGCTTGAACCTGGAAGGCGGAGGTTGCAGTGAGCCAAGATCACGCCATTGCACTCCAGCCTGGGTGACAAGAGCGAGACTTCGTCTCAAAAAAAAAAAAAGAAAAGAAATATCATTCATTTTGGATAAAGAAAAAATTGTGTTTAATAATTTAATCAGGAAAATGAAGCACTCAACATTCATCATGAGTAGTTACACAGAGCACGTAATCATCGGTGTTACCCTCACTGCTTCTTCATGCTCACTTAAAGCTGTTATTTTAATTTGTCACATTTCCATAGCAACTGCTGCCTCCCTTTTTCTAGCTAAAGTACTAGGAATCATTCCCAACCCCCCTAAATGTTCCAGTATTCATCGTCAACATTGTAAAAACCTTTGGCTCTTCTCCCAAAATGGCTAGCTCTGCCCAGGGTGCTATTAAGAATCATGATCACTCTTGACCTAAATCTCCTCATCAACTGATCTAATACATGAAGACCTACCTTTCTTCTTGGTTGGAGAGAGTGGGGTGTCTCTGAGAGAAGTCAAATAGAAATGCCTTTCTACCCCAACTAAATGTTAAACCAAATGAGAAATAGCACAAGGGGTAAGACAAGCAGAGGCCCAAATGCCACCTTTATTGGCGTGCAAGGCCAGGACAGAGAATGGAGGAAAGCTTAGAGTAGGAGCAAAATGGATTGTAACTGAGACCTCCCAGCAGAAGACAGACATGGCAGCCTATCCTGGCAGCACTAGGCTGTTGGTGGGAGAAAAAGGCCTGCCTAGGAAAAAAAAAAGGAGAAATGCATGCTCTGTGGTCAGGCTGGGTCTCAAAAAGGAAAAGCTGAACATGCCTAGACTACTCTTTCTAAATGTGATGCAGATGTCACACATCCTTACCTGGCATGGGATGAGTAAAGTGACAGACAGAAACCAGTTTATTAATTAAACTCCTTCTACTTGGAAGATAACAGAAAAGAGGGAAAATTGTTCTCCTTCCTGCTCCCACTCCCCCCACATTGCAAGAGCTACCAAATAGGATTCTCTAGTGATGGTGTCTCTTGGTTTTCATATACTCCATAGTAACCCAAAGATAGCAGGTTGAAACTTACAATAAAAATACTTTAATCTTAATGATAACTCTCTAGTTTTCCCGATGTTTGTCTATTCTGTTTCCATCTATTTTGTGCCTTATTTAGTTCACATTCATTAAAATTTTTTCTAAACTTAAAAATCAAAATTCTGCCTTATTACTAATCTGAAAACCAACAAACAAAGAAGTTAATCAAGTTAACTTCTGTAAGTCTCCTTTTCTCTTTGTAAAATGGGGCTAATAGCACCTATGACATAGGGATTATTTTGAGGATTAAAAGATATTATGCATGTGAAATGCTTAGTAGTCCTATGTCTGGCACCAAAATAACACTCAGTACATATTAGAAAAGGTGATGGTGGTGATGGTGACAGTGATGATGTCAGTTCTTTTGCTCTTTCGTTCATGACCTAACTCCAAAATGTATCCTGAAGAGTATGACATCTCTCCACCTCCAAAGTTATTACTACCTACTCCCTCTCACCTGGACTATTGTAGCAGCCCCCTCCTTAAATAACCTGAGGCCTTGCCCCTCTGTCATGGTTCTTCTATAGCAGGCACGGGGAGCATTTTAAGATGTAGATTTGATCTTGTCACTCTCTTACTTTAACCCCTCCAGTGCTTCTCATTACAGTTGGAATAAAACCCCAATCTCTTATCCCAGCCTACAGTTTGGACACAAGTTGGCCCTGCCCACTTCTCTGACTTCACCTTCCTCTACTTTCCTGCCGGCTCACCAGTCTGCAGCCCTGGGGTCTTGTTTTTTTTCCTCTAACTCCAAGCAGATTCTTTTGGGGGACTCTTGTAGGGAACTTTAGAGTCCAATATCAAAGGATAGTCCCTTCTCCTTTCCGGCTCCAAATTAAGTAATAAGTTCATCACAAAGTGAAAAATTCAAAATTTAATGCACCAAGAAACAAAAATTAAATCCCTTTTTTTTTTTCTTTTCTGAGAAATAGCAATCATAATCCTTGGCTCATAACACACTCTGACCATTGGTTCATGCCTTATTTGTGGGATTTTTAAAATGTATAAAAATGTAATAATTAAGCTCATTACTGAAAGCCATAATCCAACATCCAAATATGATCCACCATCCAAATATGATCCTCACCTCCCTCCACTTAATGTCGCTATCATCCTGAATACAGGATGCAGAAGACCTGAATAGCTCTATCAACCATCTTGGGCCAGTTAATATTTATAGAATGCTCCACCCAACATCAGCAGAATATACTCTCTTTTCAAATGTTCATAGAAAATTCACATATATTTGGAAATTCCCAAATATTTGAAAATAAGTAACATACTTCTAATTCCATGGTTCAAAAGGAAGTCAAAAGAGAAATTAATAAACATTTTGAATTGAATTAAAACTAAAACATAACATACCAAAACCTGAGGCATGCAGCTCAAGCAGTGCTTAGAGGGATATGTAGAGCATTAAATATATTAGAAAAGACTGAAGGTTTCAAATCAATGACTGTAGTGAATTCTATAATGCTATGTTACCTCAGCATCAATTCTGAATATAAGTTGAACTTTCTCATGCCAGAGCAGGGCTTAGTCACACTTGACACAGTTTCCATTTCTCTACTTCTTCCCATTCCTCAATGTGGTCGATCTAGATAGCCCCCGATACAATTGCCTCCGGTTGACAACCTCCCTATGGGGAAGCTAGATACAGCCCCATGGACATGCCCCACTGACCCCCACACCCCACACGGACTGCACGGAAATATCACAGTAACCATCTCTCAGTCACAGCGTGGCCCCACAGAACTCATGCCTGCTTGCTTTAAACCCACCAATGAAAACTCCCCATGGGAAACCTGCTTGGATAATACTTTGGACCCCAATAAATGCTTTAATCCCACAAGTCCTCTGTCTCTGCCTCTCTCTTGCCCCTACCCACTGGTTGAGCATGTGTGTCCCAAACGGCCCTGCAAGGTGTGCTGCCCTGTTCTTTCTGGGCTCTGTCAAGGAATCAAACTGCTTCTGTTATGTGATGTGTTTTGTTGTGCTGCCTCCTCTGTGTTTCATCTGCTGACAAACCCAGACTTCTTTCCTGGTCAGGGGTCTCCTAGAGAAAGGCTATCTTGGTAGGAAAAAACTAGACACAGGCCAACAAGGAACCACAGGGTGTCTGCCAGTAAAACAAGCATACTGTGAAAGGGACACCTGGGCATGGGTCAGACACTTAGGCATTAGGCCATCCATCCCCCAGGATAAAGAAGTGTCCCATGAAATGTACATTGTAAGCATCCGTAACCATCAGGGAGTCCCATCACAGCAAGGATGCATTTTATAGCCACTTTCCAGAGAGAGACCTCAAGACCAAATTAGAAAGAATTAAAAAAAATATATCTAAGCTTCCACTTTAATAAACCAAAAAAAAAAAAGAGAAAGAGCAAATTTAAGTCCAAAACAAGCAGAAGAAAGTAAACAATAAAGGCCAAATGACATGAAAACAAACAAACAAACAAAAAACCAATAGATTGCTTGATAGTTCATGCTGAAAAAAAAGGAAGGAAAGAAAAAAAGTAACATAAATAAATAAAAATAACAGAAAATTAGTGAAACAAAAAGCTGGTTCTTTGAACAGATCAATAAGATTGCTAGACTTCTAGCTGACTGTGATGGTTAATTCTGTGTATCAACTTGACTGGCCCTAGGGATGGCCAGATTCAACATTATTTCTGGGTGTATCTGTGAAGATGTTTCTGGATAAGATTGGCATTTGAGTCATGGGACTCAGTAAAGCAGATTGCCCTCTCCAATGTAGACATCATCCAATCCATTGAGGGCTTGAAATAGAACAAAAGGCAGAAGAAGAAGGAATTTGCCCCTTATTTCTCCCTGACATCTCATCTCATCTCATCTGGCCCTTGCACTAAGATTTACACAGTTAGCAGCCCCAGTTCTCAGGCCTTCAAACTCAGACTGAATTAAACAACTGATATCTTTGGTCTCCAGCTTGCAGACAGCAGATTGTGGGACTTCTTAGCCTCCACAACTGCATGAGCCAGTTTCTCATAATAAATCCTCCGTGTGTGTGTGCATGTGTGTGCATGCGTATACATTCTATTGGTTCTGTTTTTCTGAAGAACCTTGACTAATACACTGACCAAGAAACAAGAGAGGAAAGAGAGAAGACACAAATCACCAAAATCAGGAATGAAAGATGAGAAATCACTATAAATCTATGGATATTAAAAAGATAATAGGAGAATATTACAAATAGCTTCATGCCATAAGTTAGACAAATTAGATGAAATGGACAAATTCCCAGAAAGGCACATACCATCAAAGCTCACTCAAGAAAAAATAACCTGAATAGCACTACATCTACTAAAGAAACTGAAGTCATAGTTTGGAACCTTCCAACACAAATATATAATATATACATATATATACACATATGTATATATACATACCCATAATAGAATATCATAACAGCTTTATGAAATAATTTTGAAAACTTAGATGAAATGGATACATTCCCAGAAAAATGACTTACCAGATCTGACTCAAAAAAAAAACCTACAGTTTTACAAGTATTTCTTTAACTATTAAAGAGATTTAAGCTGTGGTTAATAATCTTCCCATAAAGAAAACACCAGGCCCCAATGGTTTTACAGGATGTTTGACTACACCTTCAAGGAACAAATCATCCCAATTTTATATGAACACTTAGAGACAACAGAAAAAGAGGAAGTATTCCCCCAACTAATTTCAAGTAAGTTTAACATTTATATCATAATCAGACATGATGAATACCTCTTCAAATATTTATGGGTCATACACGTTTCCTTCTTTATGATATGCCTATTCATGTCTTTTTCTTTTTTTTTTTTTTTTTGGAGACAGAGTCTTGCTCTGTTGCCCAGGCTACAGTGCAGTAGTGTGATCTCGGTTCACTGCAACCTCTGCCACCCGGGTTCAAGCGATTCTCCTGCCTCAGCCTCCCGAGTAGCTGGGACTACAGGCAGACGCGACCATGCCCAGCTAATTCTTTTTTTCTTTGTATTTTTAGTAAAGAGATGGGGTTTCACTATGTTGGCCAGGCTGGTCTTGAACTCCTGACCTCAAGTGATCCACCTGCCTCAGTCTCCGAAAGTGCTAGGATTACAGATGTGAGCCACCATGGCTGGTCTATTCCTGTCCTTTGTCATGTTTTCTCACTGTATTATTTGTTCTTTTATATTATTCTGTAGAAGGGATTTTTTTGTTTGTTTCTTTTGAGACAGAGTCTCACTTTGTTGCCCAGGCTGGAGTGCAATGGAGCGATCTCGGCTCACTGCAACCTCTGCCTCCTCAGTTCAAGCGATTTTCCTGCCTCAGCCTCCTGAGTAACTGGGATTACAGGCATGCGCCACCACACCCGGCTAATTTTTGTATTTTCAGTAGAGAGGGGGTTTCACCATGTTGGCCAGGCTGGTCTCGAATTCCTGACCTCACGTGATCCCCCTGCCTCGGCCTCCCAAAGTGCTGGGATTACAGGTGTGAGCCACCACGCCCGGCCAGAAATTTTTTAAAATATTAATCCTTTGTAAGTTTTGTGGCTATGAATAGCAATTCTCAGTATGGAACTTGTCTTTTCACTTTCTTTCAGATGTTTTTGATGAATAGAGGGTCTTAATTTTAATATGATCAAATTTATCATTCTTGTCATGTGTAGAAACATTTTCCTTTCCTAAGTTCAAAAAGATATTCACCTTTGTTCTCTATTAAGAATTTCAAAGTTTTCTTGTTGATATTTAAGCCCTTAATTTATCCAGAGTTGATTTATGCTTTCAGTGTAAGACAGTGACACAATTTCATTGAGTAATCACTTTTTGTGTGGCTCCATCTTTTTTAAATATTATTTTTAAATTATTTATTCTTTAACAAAATCTGTGTATATTTATGGTTTACAACATATTTTAAATATATATGTACATTGTACAATGGTTAAATAGAGCTAACTAACATATGCATTACCTCAAATACTTTTGTATCATTTTTCTGTGGTGAGAACACTTAAAATCTATTCTTTTAGCAATTTTCAATATAAACTTTGTTATTTATACAGTTGACCCTTGAACAACATGGGGGTTAGGGATGCTGACCTCCCCACACAGTAGAAAATCTGTGTATAACTTCCGACTTTCCGAAAACTTAACTACTAATAGCCTACTGTTGACTGGAACTCTTACTGATAACATAAACAGCCTATTAACACATATTTCATGTTACGTGTATTACATACCATATTCTTACAATAAATTAAGCCACAGAAATGAATGTTAATAACAAAATTAGAAAGAAGAGAAAATTTATTTACTACTCATTAAATGGAAATGGATCATCATAAAGGTCATCACATTGAGTAGGCTGAGGAGGAGGAAGAGGAAGAGGAGTTTTTGCTTTCTCGGGGTGTCAGAGGCAGAAGAAAATCTGCCTGTATGTGGACCCACACAATTCAAACCCATATTGTTTGTGGGTCAACTGGAGTCACCATGTTATTCAACAAGTCTCTCGAAAATTTTCTCCTCCTGTCAAACTAAACCTTTGTATCCTTTGACCAACAGCTCCCCAGATCCCCCAAACTCCCACGCCCACCATTCTACTCACTGCTTCTATCCGTTCAAAATTTTTAGATTCCACATATAAGTGTAAACATGCAGTATTTGTGAATCTGAAGAAATACACATAACTCACTGATGTCACTTCATAAACACAGATTTCAAATGGGCTCTCAGAACTGCTCAAAAAACCTATTTTCTTGTCAATGCATTTTCCTACCATTCTAGATTAGGAGGCAGTATAAGAGGGGTCAAATACAAGATTCTAAAACCAGATTACCTGGGTTAAAATCTTACTTCTACCACTTACTAAATACGTGATCTTGGGGAAGTTAAACTCACCAAAGCCTCAGTTTTTGTATATCTATCCCTCAGTAAAATTATCGTTATCTGTCCCTCAGTAAAATTCCTTATGAGAATAAAATGAGTTAATAAATATAAGCCAAAAATAGAATCTGGCACATAGTAAATACTATCTAATGCTTATATTGTTATCATTGATGATGATTTCACATCTTACCTTCTCTCCTCAAACCTTTTTCTCCCACTCTTTCTCTTCACTGATGGCCTTGCTTTTTATTTCATTGAAAAAATTGAAAAAGTAAGTCAAAAGTGAAGAAGTTCCACAACTTCCTATCATCAAATCTTCCAATTTACTTGCAGCTGTACCTGTCACTCTACTACCATACATAAACTGTTATTGTTCCTACAGTTAACTCCTCCACTTGGGTACCCTTCTAGTCTACTTAAGGAGTTGCTCCTGCAATTATCCCTTCTCTGCTGAATAACCCATTTTTAATTTTCTCAACCTGATCAGCATACAAAAATGTCATAAAAGTTGCCATCTTAAAAATAAAACCCTCCAACTCCACATTCCCCTCCAAATAGGGTGCCATTTCTCTGCACATAAAAAATGTCTTTCAAAAATTGTCTATAGTTGCTGTCTAGACTTCCTTCCCTCCCATATTCTCTTCACTCCGATCCCATCGCCTTTCACTTTCAGTACTCCATGGAGTCCCCATTTGACAAAGTGACCAGTAATCTCCACATTTTCAAGTCCAAAAGGCAATTCTCAGTCCTCATCTTATCTCTTTTCACACTTTCTCACTCCCTTCTTCACTTGGCTTTGAACAGAGTGTAACATTGGCCACTCTTTCTTCATCTGTTTTGCTTCACCTGCCTTCTCTTCTGTACCACTAAACTTTGGTGTGCTCAGGACTCTAATCTCTGTTCTACCTACAGTCATCACCTAAGCTATCTCAACTAGAGCCACAGTTTTAATACTATTTATTCATTGATTACTCCTCAGCTTCTTATCATATATCCAACTGTCCACTTCACATCCCTGGATGTTTGACAGTTCAAACTTAACACATCCAAACCAGAACTCTTCATTTCCTCCTTTGAAATTTGCTCCTCTCCTCGTATTTCCCACTTTGGAACTCACCCAACTCACAACTCACAACTCTACAACTCACCCAAGTGCTGAGGTCAAAAATCATAGTGCTGTAATTAACTCCTCTCTCACATCCTACAGTCCTGAGCAAATTCTGTTCATTCTACCACCAAACAGTGTATCTGACCCAACCACTTTTTACTGTCTCCACTGAGGGTCCAAGCTATCACCATCTCTCATCTGAACTATTGCAATACCTTCCCAAGTGGCCTCCCAGATTCATGTCTTTTTCTCCTCTCAACAGCCAGAGTAACCCCATAAAAATATAAATCTTATTTTGCTACCTACTCCCAAGCTCAAAACTTTACAATGGCTTTAAATCACCAGAAGAGTAGAAAAAGGCTTTACCATGGCCTACAGGCTCCACATGTTCCTGTGTAACTCTCAGACCCCATCTAATGCCACACTACTCCTCAGTCACTATGCTCCCCTTCTTCACTGATCTTTCAGTTCTTAGAAAGCACTAGCCCATTCTACATCTGCACAGAGATGTCACCTTAAACTACCCTATCCAGAGTAGCCACCCCCATCCCCAAGTCACTATCACCCATCCAGCTATATTTTCTCTATAGCTCTACAGTATGTAAAAATCATCTATTTAATTATTTAATTTACATCTATCTAACTGGTCTGTCCTCTCACATTTAGAATATAAACTGTATCAGAGCAGAAACCTTCACCCTCTTAATTTAACCGCCATATTCCCGGTACCTACAACAGCGTCTGGCACATAGAAGGCATTTTTAAACATCCTTGCTGAGTGAACCAATATCCCAGAAACCTCTCACAGCTAGTTCATCTTACAGGAGAAACAGTATTAAAGAGTTAATTAAATGGCCAGGCGCGGTGGCTCACGCCTGTAATCCCAGCACATTGGGAGGCCGAGGCGGGCGGATCACTCGAGGTCAGGAGATCGACACCAGCCTGGCCAACATGGTGAAACCCCCTCTCTACTGAAAATACAAACATCAGCCAGGCGTGATGGTGGAAGCCTGTAATCCCAGCTACTCAGGAGGCTGAGGTGGGACAATCGCTTGAACCCGGGAGGCGGAGGTTGTAGTGAGCCAAGATCGCACCACTGCACAACAGCCTAGAAGACAGAGTGAGACCCTGTCTCAGAAAAAAATAAAAATAAAAATAAATAAATCTATAAGTAAATGACTCGCCAGTCAAAATAAACGGCAACTTTAGGGTTAAAGGCCCAATCTGGCTCCAAAGCTTGGGGTTTTAGTTACTACACTACATTGCTTCACTATATTTTACAATTTACTAGCTGCTTATAAGTATGAATTAAGGCTCAGAAGTCTAATTTTCCAGACTACTCGGAGGACTCTCGCCCCACTCCACTCCACAAAGATTCAGCTCAGCGACTCCTTCCTACTCTGACCTAGCCCCGCGTCCCGCTCTCAGTGGCTTGGGCAAGAGCGCCTGCGCGGTGAGCGGGTCCCATAAAACGCATTCTGGGATTGGTAGTCCATGTTCCTCCGGTCTCCAGCATTCAAAAGAAAAAGGGGGAAAAAAAACCATGCAAATTAGATATCTCTGAATTTCTTGCAAATTAAATAAGACGCAGATTCTGGCTCAGGAAAGTGATGCAAACGCGTCGTTTTCAAAGGAGAGACCCCAGCCTCGGGTCAGGCGCGGCGCAGACAGCGGCGCGGGGTCCTTGGCTGGGCGGGGCTTGCTCGCGGTGGCTTGTGGCTCCTTCCTGCGGTGCTTCTCTCTTTCGCTCAGGCCCGTGGCGCCGACAGGATGGGTGAGCTGTTGTGGCCGGTTTAAGGGCGCTGCAAGCGGGACTTGGGGTCTTGGGGACGGGCGGGCGGATGCGAATAGAGTAGGGCGGGGGATGCCATGGAGAGGCTCCATGGGGGAGGGCCGGGGAAGCGCCGCTCCAGGAGGCACGTGGTCCGGCGCGGAAGGGGCCCATGAGGCGTGGAGGCCGCCGAGGTCGGGGTACCGAGGGACGCAGGGAGGCCAGCGCTTCCTCCCGGGCATTCGAGCGGGGCCTCGTCCTTCGGGAGAACACATTCTCCGGAGCCCTCTTCGAACGTTTATTAGTCGGTTCAGGGCAACTTGAAGGCCAAATGTTTGGCCCACAGGCCAATAAATAGTACGAGAGCCAATCGGCTTAAGGGTTTATTCCAGGTGAGGCGAGTGTCTTAGAAGATGGGAAACACGTAGATGGCGTGTTTTTACGGAAGAACTAAAATATTTAATTTTTAGGCAAGTGTCGTGGACTTCGTACTGCTAGGAAGCTCCGTAGTCACCGACGAGACCAGAAGTGGCATGATAAACAGTATAAGAAAGCTCATTTGGGCACAGCCCTAAAGGCCAACCCTTTTGGAGGTGCTTCTCATGCAAAAGGAATCGTGCTGGAAAAAGTGTAAGTCCATTGCTCCCGTCAAGTTTTAGTTTATTATAGGAATTCGAGACATGAACTTACGAATTCTTGTTTTGAAAGTAATTGCAGGTTTTTGTGTAGTAGTATTCATTTGGGCATTGTGGGGTAAAATTGCAAAGCGTTTGTTCTATTTAAAAGTTGGTAAAATTAGTTTTTGGGAATTAGGTAGTTAAGGTTTTAATTTAACGTTGGCCTGGAAGGAATTGGAGAAGATACTAGCAATGATGAAGTAAAGGACACAAACACCTTTACTGTGGGAGTTGTTATAAGTAAATGGCACGTGTCAGCTATTGAACTTTATCGACTTGATAAAACTAAGGTGAAGAGAAGTGACTTGCATCAGAATTAATTGAGGTCATACACCTAAGATTGAGACATGAAACTGCCAGTATTTGACTGGTTTTGACTTTTTAAAATAATAATTTCATATAGTTCTATCATATTTGATGGTAGAGCCATTTTAACCCAGACTTTTTTTTTTTTTTTTTTTTTTTTTGAGACAGTCTAGCTCTGTCACCCAGGCTGGTGTGCAGTAGCGCAAGACTCCCTGCAACCTTAGCCTCCCAGGTTCAAGCATTTCTCCTGCCTCAGCCTCCCAGGTAGCTGGGATTACAGGCGCCCACTACCACACCAGCTAATATTTTGTATTTTCAGTAGTGATGGGGTTTCACCATGTTGACCAGGCTAGTCTCAAACTCCTGACCTCAGGTGATAATGCCTGCTTCGGCCTCCGAAAGTGCTGGAATTACAGGCGTGAGCCACTGTGTCCGGCCCAGACTTTCTAATTCTTACCTCAGATACCTTTTTTCTTTTTTCTTTTTTTTTTTTTGAGATAGGGTCCCTTGTCACACAGGCTGGCCATCTTGACGTTCTAGGCATAGATCCTCCCACGTCAGCCTCGCAAGTAGTTGGGACTACAGGCCCACGCTGCCACTCCAGTCTACTTTTATAACTGTAAAAGGTCTAGAAATTTCCCCCATTGTGCTAATGAAATTAAGACTGGCAGAAAACTAGGTTGACATCACAGGACTTCAGCTCAGCCATTTGAGGTTAGATTGAAAAGATAGAAACAGTTTCTCATTAGTTCTCTAGTTAATATGAAAAGATAATCTTTTTCAGAAAGCCAGCTCACAGTGCTGTGCCTTTTGTATTTCAGAGGAGTTGAAGCCAAACAGCCAAATTCTGCCATTAGGAAGTGTGTAAGGGTCCAGCTGATCAAGAATGGCAAGAAAATCACAGCCTTTGTACCCAATGACGGTTGCTTGAACTTTATTGAGGTGAGTATTTCAACTCTATCGTACCTTCTGTTCTTGGGGTGGCCTCCCTCACATTTTTATCTGATGCAAGGGAGTTTCCTCACATGAAAGTATTTTTGTGATCGCCACCAACACCAGAAATAAACTTCTTATTTTATTCCAGGAAAATGATGAAGTTCTGGTTGCTGGATTTGGTCGCAAAGGTCATGCTGTTGGTGATATTCCTGGAGTCCGCTTTAAGGTTGTCAAAGTAGCCAATGTTTCTCTTTTGGCCCTATACAAAGGCAAGAAGGAAAGACCAAGATCATAAATATTAATGGTGAAAACACTGTAGTAATAAATTTTCATATGCCAAAAAATGTTTGTATCTTACTGTCCCCTGTTCTCACCACGAAGATCATGTTCATTACCACCACCACCCCCCCTTATTTTTTTTATCCTAAACCAGCAAACGCAGGACCTGTACCAATTTTAGGAGACAATAAGACAGGGTTGTTTCAGGATTCTCTAGAGTTAATAACATTTGTAACCTGGCACAGTTTCCCTCATCCTGTGGAATAAGAAAATGGGATAGATCTGGAATAAATGTGCAGTATTGTAGTATTACTTTAAGAACTTTAAGGGAACTTCAAAAACTCACTGAAATTCTAGTGAGATACTTTCTTTTTTATTCTTGGTATTTTCCATATCGGGTGCAACACTTCAGTTACCAAATTTCATTGCACATAGATTATCTTAGGTACCCTTGGAAATGCACATTCTTGTATCCATCTTACAGGGGCCCAAGATGATAAATAGTAAACTCAAAATTGCTCCCCACTCTGTTTATTATTTAAAGGTGTCAGGATCTGTGTTGTAATGTGTCTACATTAATGTGTTTAGGAGAATACAGGCATTGGATCATTTAGTTGATGGAAGTATATGCCAGGCAAGGGAGATAAGGTATACGACAAGACTGATGTTTTCAGTATCTTCTCATGAGGTTGTCAGAGACCTTCATGTCTTCAAAGACTAGTCAGCAAATGAAGTGGTTTAGTGTAGAGACAAGATTGGTTGTGTTTTGATAATTTAAGCTAGGTATTGAGTACATGTGGATTTTGCTGTCCACAAATACTTGTTTCAGAGTTTTCATGGATACAGTGGCATGGTTGAAATGAAGCTGTGAGCCTTCTGCTTTAAATCTGATGTAAGAAACTCCTGTTAACAAATAGTAAGTATGGGTTAATTAGCCCTTTGATCAAAGCCTAGCTTTACATTGTTTAGGATCTTTGGAAAACAATTGGTTTGGTTGCCCACTTTCCGTAGGATCAAGAGCAGAACCTTTCACATGGCACAGAAGAACCCAGGTTGCGCTTCATACCTGCATATTCCAGCCTTAGCCTGCCATTTCTCTCCTTGGCACTTTGTGCTCCAGCAACACTGGTCTCAGTTGGTCATCCTCAAACTTGGGTTCCATATCCAGCCTCAGGACCTCTGTTCCTGTTACTATGGTTCCTTGCATGTCGCCTGCTCTTACTAAAGAGCTCGTGTGTTTTCCAGCACACTTCGGTTTATCTCTTGATGATGATGCTAGTCTCTCCCTCCGCAAGGGCGGAAAGGCTGCCTGTTGGTTTGTACCAGTGTTTCCTAACGTGTAGCTGCAGTCAGTATTTGGCTAAGCTGTTCCCAGGGGCTCAACAGATGCTTTCGGATGAGCCTTAACTGACCCAATCCTTTGTGATGCGGGAGAGATTGCTAGGCCTCGCTCACCTGGCCAGAACCAGGGAAAGAGGCCGCGGTTGCAGCGCGATTCCAGGCCCTGGGCGTCAGGCGCGGGGTGGGCAGCTCTCCCCGGGCGGTGGGGCCCTTGTGACCGCGAGGCGGGGCGCACCAGGAAGGGAGTGGGACAGCGCGGGCGCCCAGGGATGTGGCCTGGTTACCTGCCTTCTCTGATACGTCAAGACACCTTCAACAATGGCTTGCAGCTGTACCCTGTTGGCTGCACCCAGGACGCCCTTTTCACTGCTAAGCAGTCCTACCTGAGGCCCAGGGGCTGCCAGATTGACCCATAAATAATCTCCGGCGCCTCAGATCCAGAAGCTGCTGAGCCTGATCTTAGTGCCTTCTCCTTTCTCTGTGTGGCCCCCCAGCCCCTTTCCCCACTGCCTTGTGTCCAAGGCCCTTTCCTTCATGTATCCATGGAGGAGAGACAAAAATACACATCAATAAAATAAGATAGGGAATCCATAAATAGACATTCAGAAGTATGGCCAACGGATTTATCTTAAAACCAATGGAGGAAGAAGAGTTTCAATAAATGTTGTGGACTTCCATTTGTCAAAGACCAAAACAAAGGAACCCCAACCTTACATGTAATACAAACTTAACTCAAAATGGATCATATATCTAAATGTAAAATGGAAAGCTATAAAACTGAAAACAGACTATCTTTACAACCTAGGCGTAGGTATAGTTTTTAGACATTACACCAAAAGCACATGCCGTAAAAGAAAAAATAGATAAATTGGTGGATTTCATTAAAATTAAAAAACTTTTTCTCTCTGAAAAATCCTGTTAAGCTGGGCGCTGTGGTTCATGCCTGTAATCCCAGCACTTTGGGAGGCTGAGTTGGGAAGAAATTAATAGCTTGAGGCCAGGAGTTCAAGATCATCCTGGGCAGCAAAGTCATACACTCTTGAGGGAAGAGAGAGACCTTCTCATATTGTTTTATATTGTTTTATACTCAGTACCTGTTTTAAGAAAAAAACAAGGAAGTGAAATCAAAGACAGGCAGCCCGGCACCAGGCCTGAAACCAGCCCTGGGCCTGCCTGGCCTAAACCTAGTAGTTAAAAATCAACTTACGACTTAGAACCTGATGTTATCCGTAGATTCCAAGCATTGTATAAAAAAATTGTGAAACTCCCTGTTGTGTTCTGTACCAGTGCATGAAACCCCTGTCACATATCCCCTAGATTGCTCAATCAATCACGACCCTTTCATGTGAAATCTTTAGTGTTGTGAGCCCTTAAAAGGGACAGAAATTGTGCACTTGAGGAGCTCAGATTTTAAGGCTGTAGCTTGCCGATGCTCCCAGCTGAATAAAGCCCTTCCTTCTACAACTCTGAGAGGTTTTGTCTGCGGCTCGTCCTGCTACATTTCTTGGTTCCCTGACCAGGAAACGAGGTGACTGACGGACGGCTGAGACAGCCCCTTAGGCAACTTAGGCCTGCCCCGTGGAGCGTCCCTGCGGGGGACTCCGGCCAGCCTGAGTGATGCCATCCAAAGAGTGCTCCTGGGTAGGCAGTTGCCCCGGTGGAACGCCTCGCCAGAGCAGCACATAGCAGGCCCCTGCGGAGGATTAACACAGTGGCTGAACACCGGGAACCGGGAAGGAACTGGCACTTGGAGTCCAGACATCTGAAACTTGGTAAGACTAGTTTTTGGAACTTGCCCCACTCCATCTGAGTGGAAGCGTGGCCTGATCACCCATGGTGTGCCTGTATTGGCACTTTTGTTCTGGTTTTGACTTGGCTTGACTTGGTAAAACTAGTCTTTGGAACTTGCCCCACTCCATCTGAGTGGAAGCGTGGCCTGATCACCCACGGTGTGCCTGCATTGGCACTTTTGTTCTGGTTTTGACTTGACTTGAATTGCTGGATACTGTGGTTTTGGTTTTGACTTGGCTTGAATTTTTTGGTACTCGGATTTTGAATTTCGTGATTTTGGTTTGGTATAAACGGTAACAGTGTGTGTGTGCCCTCTTTACCCGTTCTTTGTCTTCTGGTGTGTGTGTGTGGTGTGAGCGTGGTATTTTGTCTCAGGAAAAAAAACAAACAAACATAGGTCAGGTGCAAAGTAAGCCCACCCCACTAGGAACTATCTTGAAAAATTTCAAGAAAGGATTTAAGGGAGATTACAGTGTTACTATGACACCAGGAAAACTTAGAACTTTGTGTGAAATAGACTGGCCAGCATTAGAAGTAGGTTGGCCATCAGAAGGAAGCCTGGACAGGTCTCTTGTTTCAAAGGTATGACACAAGGTAACTGGTAAGCCAAGGCACCCAGACCAGTTTCCATACATAGACAGTTACAGCTGGTTTTAGACCCCCTTCCCCACCACAGTAGTTAAGAGAACAGCAGCATAAGCAGCTGGCAGAGGCAAGGAAAGACCAGCAGAGAGAAAAAGAGACCATCTATACCAATTCTAAGTTAATTTAGACTAAACAAAGTCTTATTAATAGCAAAGGATAATTGAAATCCCAAACTGACAAGGTTTTCAACAAAAGTGAAGTTTGCTAAAAGTTAACAGTGTAACATGTATTATGGTAACTTCTAATCTTGTGGCCTTAGACAATCTAGTTCAAAGACATAAAGAAAGTTCGCTTTAAAAAAAAAAAAAAGGAATGGTTATCTTCAAAAAGAAAAAAAAAAAAGGAAAAAAACGGGGAGAGGCAGAATTTATGTAAAAAGAGTGTTACATGGTAAATTCTTGTCCTGAAATAAATTAACTGGTTGTTTAAAAAAAAAATGTAATAAGTCAGAAAGTTAAGACATGTTGAAAAATTGTCTGCAAAAGTCGTGAAAGAAAAAGTTATAAAAAGTATTTATGCAAAAAAGTTGTATAATTTAAAAGTAATAAGGCCTCCTGAGTACTATTTTAAAAAAACAGTTTATGTGCAAGGTGTATAAGAAAAGTAAAATATACCTTTGGTAAAAAAGATTATAAAAGGGCATAAAAATGTGGATTTTTACCTACATTAAAAAGTTAAAAAAATTGTTTTAAAAGTTTAAGCAAGTTTTAAAACATTAATTGTAAAGAAAATTCTGTGTGTAAACATATTAGCTAAAGTTAAAAAGGTGTCATCCAGTTTTTCTGTGAACTAGACATTAAAAATGCAACAGGTTTTTCTTAAAGGATCAACCTGTTCTTTAACAAAAATTATAAAAAGTTAAAAAGAGTCTATAAAATCTTACATGGTCAAACATAAAAAATTGGATAAATATGTCTACAAGGTTTTATTAAAATTAAGTTTAACATTAACACTAATATAAAGGTAAAATTTAACTTATGTGGTATAAAAATCATACAAGAAGCATTATTAAATATAAAATGGTGTTTAGCTTTCTTTGGTCTAAAAACTAATAAAAATAGGTGCTACAGGAAACATTCATTTTACTAAAGGATCATAGAAGCTAAAGACTTAAAACAAACTTTGGCAATTAAGACAGCATACCAAGATGCAAATGCCTGGTTGAAATAGATCAAATATTCCATCTGCACGTTAAACAAAAGCAATTGTTATGCTTGTGCACATGGCAGGCCAGAGGCCCTGATTGTCCCCCTTCCACTAAGGTGGTCCTCTAGTCGACCAGGCATAGGCTGCATGGTAGCTCTTTTCCGGGACTCTATAGCCTGGAGTAAAAAGTCATGCCAAGCTCTCTCTGCTATATCCCGAAGTCCCTGCGGGTCAGCCCCTGAGGGCCATCCAGCTTCCATCTCCCAACACTAAGTTCACTTCGTGTCTGTCACAGCAAGGAAGAGACTTAGCATTCCTTAGAGACCTGAAGGGATGCAGTGAGCTTAAGAATTTTCAAGAGCTTATCAATCAGTCAGCCCTTGTTCGTCCCCTAGCAGATGTATGGTAGTATTGTGGTGGACCTTTACTAGGCACTCTGCCTAATAACTAGAGTGGCACTTGTGCTTTAGTCCATTTGGCTATCCCTTTCACCCTGGCATTTCATCAACCAGAGGAAAAACAAAAAATAAGACATCATAAAGCGAGAGAAGCCCCTTATAGGTCTTTCAACTCTCACATCTATTTAGATGCAATTAGAGCCCCGCAAGGAATACCAGATCAATTTAAAGCTTGAAATCAAATAGAGGATTCAAGTCAATATTTTAGTAGATGACAGTCAATAAAAATGTAGATTAGATAAACTACATCTATTACAACCAACAGCAATGAGCTTTTCATGAGTTAAAAAGAAAAACTCATGTCGGTCCCAGCCCTGAGGCTACCTGACCTGACAAAACTCTTTACACTCTATGTGTCAGAAAGAAAAAAAAAATGGCAGTTGGAGTTTTAACCCAGACTTTGGGGCCCTGGCCAAAGCCAGTGGCCTATCTCTCAAAACAACTAGACAGGGTTTCCAAAGGCTGGCCCCCATGTCCAAGGGCCCTGGTAGCAACGGCCCTGTTAGCACAAGAAGCAGATAAGCTAACTCTTAGACAAAACCTAAAGTCCCCCCATGCTGTGGTGATTTTAATAAATACCAAAGGACACCATTAGCTAATGAATGCTAGACTAACTAGATACCAAAGCTTGCTCTGTGAAAATCCCCACATAACGATTGAAGTTTGCAACACCCTAACCCTGCCATCTTACTCCTGGTATCAGAGAGCCCAGTTAAACATAAACTGTGTAGAGGTGTTGGACTTAGTTTATTCTAGTAGGCCCAACCTCCAAGACCACCCTTAAACATCAGTAGACTGGGAGCTGTACGTGGATGGAAGCAGCTTCGCCAACCCCTGCAAAGTGACTCTGAAGAAGACGACAAGCCCTGCCCCAGTCACACCCGGAAGCTGACTGGTCCACACACGGCCGAAGCATGAGGAAATGCATCGCGGGACTCATTTTCCTTAAAATTTAGAGTTGTACAGTAAGGACTTCAACTGACCTTTCTCAGACTGAAGGCTGTTCCCAGTATTTACATCAAGTCACTGAGGTAGGACAAAAGATTGCTACAGTCCTATTATTTTATAGTTATTATGAATGCCTAGGAACTCCAAAAGGAACCTATTTGTATAATAACACCCAGTACAAAGTATGTAATCCAGGAAGTGACCAGCCCAATGTGTGCTATGACCCCTTTGAACTTCCCATGATCACAGTCTTTGAAGTAAGACTAAGAACTGGTCGTTCTCTAAGGGACACAAGTAAAATAATAGCTAGAACAGAAGAAAGAAAGGTCCCCAAAAATGTAACCTTAAAATTTGATGCCTGTGCCGCTATTAATAGTAAACAGCATAGGATAGGATGCAGTTCTCTAGATTAGGAAAAAAGTTACACAGCATAAAATAAGTACATCTGTCAAGAATCATATTTATGTGAGATATGTCAATACTGGTCTTGTGTCATTTAGGCTACTTAGAAAGAAGATAAGAAAGATCCTGTTTAGCTCCAAAAAGGAAAAGTCAGCCCCTCCTGCACGAGTGGGAGCTGCAACCTTTTAGAATTGATAATTACAAACCCCTCAGACCCAAAGTGGAATAAAGGAAAATATGTAACATTAGGCATTGATGGAAAAGGACTAGATCCTAGTGTAAGCATCCTAATAAAAGGAGAGGTTCAAGAACGCTCTTCAGAACCAGTCTTTCAGATTTTCTATGATGAACTAAATGTGCCAGTACCTGGGATTCCAGGAAAAACTAAAAATTTGTTTTTGCAATTAGCCGAGCAGGTAGCCCAGTCTCTAGATGTCACTTCATGTTATTTTTGTAGAAAAACTGTAATGAGAGATCAATGGCCATAAAAAGCCCAAGAATTAGTGCCTACAGACCCAGTTCCTGATGAATTCCCAGCCCAAAAGAATCACCCTGATCATTTCTAGGTTCTAAAAGTCTTAATTATTGGACAATATTGCATAGCTAGAAAAAGGAAAAAATTCACTCATTCTGTAGGATGACTTAGTTGCCTAGGACAAAAACTGTATAATAGTACCACAAAAACAGTTACACGGTGGAGTTCAAACCACACAGAAAGAGATCCGTTCAGTAAATTTCCAAGGTTGCAGACTGTCTAGGCCTACCCAGAATTCCACCGGGACTGGACTGCCCCCACCAGGTAATACTGGATATGTAGACATAGAGCCCATGCTAAGCTGCCTAATCAGTGGACAGGTAGTTGTGTAATTGGCACCATTAAACCATCTTTCTTCCTACTGCCCATAAAAACAGGAGAACTCCTAGGCTTCCCTGTCTGTGCTTCCCGTGGAAAACGAAGCATAGCCATAGGTAATTAAAAAGATGATAAATGGCCCCCTAAAAAAAATTATACAATACTATAGGCCTGCCACTTAGACACAAGACAGATCATGGGGATACTGGACCCCCATTTACATGCTCAACCAAATCATACGGTTGCAAGCTGTTTTAAAAATCATCACTAATAAAACTGGTCAAGCCTTGACTATTCTGGCCCAGCAAAAAACTCAGATAAGAAATGCTATCTATCAAAATAAATTAGCTCTTGACTACTTGCTAGCAGCTGAAATAATGGTCTATAAGAAATTTAACCTTACTAATTACTGTCTACACATAGATAATCAAAGGCAAGTAGTTAAAAGGCATAGTTAGAAATATGACAAAACTGGCACATATGTCCATACAAGTGTAGCACAGATTCAACCCTAAAGCCATGTTTAGAAGGTAGTTCCCAGCACTAAGAGGATTTAAAACTCTTACAATAGGAGTTACAATAGTAATAGAAACCTACTTACTGCTCCCTTGTTTGCTACCTGTACTTCTTCAAATGATAAAAAGCTTCATCACTACCTTAGTTCACCAAAATGCTTCAGCACAAGTGTACTATAAAAATCACTATCAATCTATTGCACGAAAAGACATAAGTAGCAAAAATAAGAGTGAGAACTCCCACTAATAAAAAGTGAGAGTCTCAAAGGGGGGAAATGAGGGAAGAGAGAGACCCTCTCATACTGTTTTATATTGTTTTATACTCAGTATTTGTTATAAGAGAAAAAACAAGGAAGTGAAATCAAAGACAGGCAGCCCGGCACCAGGCCTAAAATCAGCCCTGGGCCTTCCTGGCCTAAACCTAGTAGTTAAAAATCAACTCATGACTTCGAACCCAATGTTATCCATAGATTCCAGGCATTGTATAAAAGAACATTGTGAAACTCCCTGTTCTGTTTCACTCTGACTACCAGTGCATGAAACCCCGGTCACGTAGCCCCTAGATTGCTCAATCAATCACGACCCTTTCATATGAAATCTTTAGTGTTGTGAGCCCTTAAAAGGAACAGAAATTGTGCACTCGAGGAGCTCAGATTTTAAGGCAGTAGCTTGCCGATGCTCCCAGCTGAATAAAGCCCTTCCTTCTACAACTCGGTGTCTGGGAGGTTTTGTCTGCGGCTCATCCTGCTACACTATCTCTACAAAAAAAATTTAAATTCGCCTGGCATGGTGGTGTGCACCTCTAGTCCCAGGTACTTGAGAGGGTCAGAGGATCGCTTGAGCCCAAGGGTTTGAGGCTGCAGTGACCTCTGATTGTGCCACTGCAATTCAGCTTGAGCAACACAGTGAGACCCTGTCTTAAAAAATAAAAAAAATAAAAAAATAAAAAATCCTGTTAATAGGATGACAAGACAAACCACAGATTGGGAGAAAATATTTGCAAAACACTTATCCAATAAAGGACTTACATCTAAAACAGAATTCTCTAAACAAAAAGTGAGAAAACACAATCCCATTACAAAATGGGCAAATATACGTCTCTTCACAAAAGAGATGGCAAATAAGCACATGAAAAGATGATCAAATCATTAGCCATCAGGCAAATGCAAATTAAAACCACAACAAGTTATCACTATAACCTGGCTAAAGATGCTGAGAATACCAAGTACTGGTGAGAAAGGAGGGCAACTGCATCTCTCATGCATTGTTGGTGGAAAAATAGTACAGTCACTCTGAAAAAGTGATACTTAACAACATGAGCCAGAAATTGTAGTCCCGGGTACAGGACTGAAATACAGCAATGAAAATAAGTGTCCACACAAAAACCTGTACATAAATATTCATGGCAACTTTATTTGGACAGCCAAGAAATAGAAACAACCTAAATACCCTTCAATGGGCCAATATATACACTGTGGTATATCCATAAATGATACACTATTCAGCCAGATTGTTACATAAAACAACTTCTATGAATTTCTAGGGCAGTATGCTGGATACCAGAAGCCTATCTCAAAAAGTTGTATCTGGTATGGATTCATTTATATAACACTCTTGAAATGACAAAATTATAGCAATGGAGAAGTGACCAGTGATCACTAGGGATTCAGAATGGGGGCAGAGTCTGACAATAAAAGGAAGGATCGTACGAGGGAGTTTCTTTGTGGGAATGAAACACTTCTGTGTCTTTATCTTGGTGATATTTATGGAAATCAATACTTGCAGTGGAATTTCATAGTACTATACACACAATAAAAACATGTAAAAATTGGTCAGTGAGTAAATTCTGTAGTTAATAGTTTTGGACTAATGTCAATTTCCTACTTTTGAAAATATACTCTGGTTATGAAAGATACTATCATTTGGGAAAGCTGGATGAAGGGTATACACAAACTATTCTATTGTTGCAACTTCTTGTGTGCCTTAAATTATTTATAAATAAAAAGTAATGTATTTATATATATGTATATATAAAATTTACAAATGGGTAAGTTAATTTAGTCTGTTATTTAATCTGTATTCTCTTTATTTGCCTAGCAAAGCCCAAACCAATCAGAAATTGTTATAGCAAAAAGAATCAGGAGATCACTTAGTTCTGTGGTTCCCAAACCCAGTGACATCAGAATTCCCCTGGGAAACCATCTTGAGGGTATCCATGAGAAATCTGTCAGGTAGTTCTTATGTAGCTACCCCCTGTTTTCTCCATTTGTGGTTATTACTGCTCTCATCTTAGAAGTTGGAAGCCCAAATAAGGCAGCTGTTAAGTATTTTATAAATAAATTTGCCCAAGTAATTGGCACAGCTCAAGTCAAAACAATAGTCTATTCTCCAAATGGAATTGTTCCTGTCAGAAACACCCCATCGCAAAACGATAAACACTGCCTTACAGGTAGCTACTTAGTAAACTCAGGCACAAATTTATCCGGGTATTTAGTAAGAGTTTTTGTTTTCTGTTTTGCGAAGGGGAGTAAATTTTCTGTGTGTTTGTATGAAAATATTGAAACACTCCAGTTACTGATGTTCTGAAAAAAAATTTTGAAGGTCTAAACACACAACACCTCAGATAAATGTGGGCCTTTTCATGTTATTTTTTGATAGCACTGAGAGACACAGTTCTAATATGACAGCTATAAAAATTCGAATGTGTATCTGTATGTGTATTGGATTCCTGTATTTCATTCCAGGAAAATGTCTAGTTGTAGGATTGGTCATAATGGTCACGCTGTGGATAATATTCCTGGAATCTGTTGGAAGGTTGTCAAAGTAGCTAGCGTTTTTCTTTATTGGCTTTGCATAAAGCCAAGAAAAGAGACTACGATAATAAATTACCATATTACAATAAAATGTTCACTAACAGTAACTTATGTAATCTTTATTTTAACCTATAAAATCTATGTCAGTGGATTATTTAAGCATTAACTCACATTCTCATGCTACTGTAGTTGGGGGACTGTCTTTGCTGGTTATACTGAGCAGTCTTCGTTTCTAACACAAATCTTGTCCTTATTGTTTGGTAAAGTGATATTATGTTTGTTAGTACCGGAGGAAGAGAAGTGGATTTTTATAGCTTATTGTCACACTAATGTCACCACAGAAGGTGTAGAGCAAACCATTAAAACATTTAACAATTAAATGTTTTAAAGCATAAATTGTCTCATAGAAGAAAATAGTTTTTTAGAGTGACACATTTGAAGGGAACCATGAGTGACAAATAACTAATATTTTCAAATATGCACATGCCCAGTCGCCACCTCATTCAGATGGTCACTTAAGCCTCTAATATATGATGTGTATCTTCAAAAACAAGGGAGCCACTCACACACAGCTCTCAGATGTGTGCGATGAGCACCATCACAAATTCCTTCCTTAATGCACTCTGCTTTCCAGCTGACCTGAAGCTTGCAAACAGCAATTCTGATGGTAAGGAGGGTAAGGAGGAAATCAAAGTCCCCAGGTCACTAGTCAGATCTAGCCACAGAAGTACCAGCTCCTTTTACTCTGCTTATTTGTGGTAATAAGTTATTGTTGGCATGAATTCTGTTCTCTAATCTAGTCACAGTGTGGGAGAAATTTTTAAATCTAGCCTTCTAAAACTTTTTTTTTGAGACGGAGTCTCACTGTGTCACCCAGGCTGGAGTGCAGTGGCGCGATCTCAGCTCACTGAAAGCTCCACCTCCTGGGTTCACACCATTCTCCTGCCTCAGCCTCCCCAGTAGCTGGGACTACAGGCGCCCGCCACCACACTCGGCTAATTTTTTGTATTTTTAGTAGAGATGGGGTTTCACTGTGTTGGCCAGGCTGGTCTCGATCTCCTGACCTCATGATCCACCTGCCTTGGCCTCCCAAAGTGCTGGGATTACAGGTGTGAGCCACCGTGCCTGGCCTAAAACTCTTTTATTATAGTTAATTAGAAATAGAAATCCGGGCACAGTGGCTCACGCTTGTAATCCCAGCACTTTCGGAGGCTGAGGCGGGCGGATCACCTGAGGTCAGGAGTTTGAGACCAGCCTGGCCAACATGGCAAAACCCTGTCTCTACTAAAAATACAAAAAATTAGCTGGGCGTGGTGGCGCACACCTGTAGTCCCAGCTACCTGGGAGGCTCAGGTGGGAGAATCACTTGAACCCAGGAGGCAGAGGGTGTGGTCAGCCGAGATCGCACCACTGCACTCCAGCCTGGGTAACAGAGTGAGACTCCCTCTCCAAAAAAAAAAAAAAAAAAAAGAAAGAAAGAAAAAGAAAAAAATAAATAGAACAAGGGGCTACATTGCTTGGCTGTGCTAAAAGTGTAGGACATACAGAGCAAACCCAAATTTCAAAGTGTATATGCTAACAGATGTATTATAATGCTTACTTACCTCTTTCAGCAACCAGCTAATGTTTAAATCTGTACAATAATGGGCAAAGTAAGACATGCTTTAAATAATTTTTCATTTCAATCACAGCTGAGAACAGTAGAGAGAACTGTTACTTTTTAAAACGTGTCTTGTTCATTTCTTGCTTTGGAAACTGGTATTAAATAGATTTTGTCATATCTTTTTTCTCCAATAGCTTTATGAATTTATCCAGCTTATAATAAGATTCTTTTTTCTATACAGTTTGACAACTTTAGGTACTCTGTTCGTGTGTGTTTGCAGGTAGTATGACAACTTTTCCCCCACAAGTTCCTAATAGGTTCCAAGTATTTCTCCAGGATCTTAATTATAGTATACAATAGTTGATTTTGTTTGTTCTGTATTTTACACATTTTCTTATATGTTTATAATTAAATACTTTTCTCCTTATCAACATACTCATCTTCCTCCTGCGTGTGTGTGTGTGTGTGTGTGTGTGTGTGTAATGAAAGAAAGCCATTGTGAGTGGAATTTATTTGCCAGGATTCCCATAGATGGATAGGGTTTGGCCCATAGGTGGATTTTAGAGGGACTAGGAACGCCTGAAACTATATGCAGAATTTTCCAATTATGTGTGTATATTTGTGTATATGAGTTCCTAACACAAGAAGCCAGCTACTATTTCAACCTGTACAACAATGAGGATTTAGTCACATATTACATAATTTTCCATTTTAATCACAGTTGAGAACAACTGAGAGAAGTGGACTGTGGTTTGACATGGTTTATGAGTGTTCCCAATGTTGTCCAGTTCTGTAGATGATCCAGTCTGCAGAACCTGCAAAATGCACATTTTACATTCTGCTTTTATTTCATGGCTGCCCTAATTATGGTCATTTTAGGGAAAAGTTCCCATGCTATTTGTAAAAATTAGAAAGAGGGCACAAAGCCTCACCCTCAGGCATAAAAGCAGAGGACAAAAACCCAAAGATGTTTTTAACATCTAAGAATGGAAGGAATAAATCAAATAAAAATGTTCAGTATGCACCTGTAAAAACAAATGACATAAAGTCTGTTACTGCTTAAAAGTATTTGAGCACAGTAAGAAAAAAAGGGTTAAGTGAAACAAATATGGCAAAATCTTGGTAATTGTTGATTCCAATTTATAGGTATGTGAAGGTTAATTGTACTATTTTTGCATATATTTGAAATTTTCCATAATATTTTTTTAAAATTACATACATATTCCAATTGTTTAACTGCATATTCTCTGGTTAAACTGAACCAGAACATGGACAATCTGCTCTTATAGGAGCACAATGGACATGTAGGGGCAATGAAGTCACAAGAAGAAGGTGAGAAAATGAAATTTAACATGCTAAGAAAAATATAACATATTAAGAAGAAATGAAGCTGAGGATCCACGAAATCTTAGCAAGACAAGAGAAAAATGTTTAATTCAGTGATTAAAGCAAAGTAAAATAATTTTCAAAGATTTAAGAAAATGATAAAACACAGACTGCTGCTGGGAATGTAAATTGCTATATCCTTACTGGGGAACAATTTAGTGACATGATCCTATATCCTTTGATCCATTAATTCCATTAACAGCGTAACCTAAAGAAACAAAATGTGAGCACAGGTTTCTGCCTACATTTCTCATTGCATTACATTTTTTTTTTTTTTTTTTTTTCTGAGACAGAGTCTTGCTCTGTCCTCCAAGCTGGAGTGCAGTGGCACGATCTCGGCTCACTGCAACCTCCGCCTCCCAGGTTCAAGCAATTCTCCTGCCTCAGCCTCCCGAGTAGCTGGGACTACAGGCACACGCCACCATGCCCGTCTAATTTTTTTTGTATTTTTAGTAGAGACAGGGTTTTGCCATGTTGGCCAGGCTGTTCTCGAACTCCTGACCTCAGGTGATCTGCCCACCTCGGCCTCCCAAAGTGCTGGGATTACAGGAGAGCCACTGCGCCTGGCTCATTGCATTACATTCTGAAAGCTCTTTGAGGGTAGGGGCTTTGTCTGCCCTACTGACCACTATATTCCTAGAACAGTTCCTGACACGAAAAAGTGCTGAAATGAATGTATGTTAAATAAACAGTGAGGAATTAGAAAAGACCAAAACTCAAACAATAGGATAATTATTTGGTACATTTTGGAATAGAAGAAATCCTAGCTAGTCATTTAAAATAGTATTTTCAAAGAACATTAAATGACATGAGAAAATGTTCCAGATATATTGTTAAGTGGAAAAAAGCAGGATGTAAAACCATATACAGGATGCTCCTAATTAAATATGTTTAAACTAGCACAAGGAAATACATAAAAAATTTAAAAGCAGTTATTCTAGATGATATACACTTCAGTGATTTTTAAATATTCTCCTTCAAATTCTTCTGTGTTTCCCAAATTATCTATGAGGACTCAAATCTTTTTTTAAAAAGGAATTTCTAGTTTTACATTCTATGGATAGATTAAGTCTAGCATTACAAAAAGAGCCAAAGTCTTCTTTGATTACTTCCAAACCAAGTTCCCACTCTATACCTGCAAAGAGTGATCAAAGAAGTCTTGGATCACCTTTTTTACAAGTTTGGTGTCCTTCCTTCTAGATCACTTTTTATATTTTTCATACACTTGCAGTATATGTACCTATAGAAAATACATGGTATTAGTGCATTTTAAAATATAAACAGTATCAAGCTGCATGCATAGTGACTTCTTAGTCTATTTTGTGCTGCTATAATGGAACACTACAGACTGGGTAATTTAAAATGAACAGAACTTTATTGGCTCACAGCTCTAGAGGCTGGGAAGTCCAAGATCGAGGGGTTGCATCTGGTGAGGCCTTTTTTACTGCTTCATAACATGGTAGAAGGCATCACATGGGTGAGAGAGAGTAAGCAAGAGGGTGCCAAACCCATCCTTTTGAAAGGAACCACTCCTGCAACAATGGCATTATTTCATTCAGAAAGGCAGAGTCCTCATGGCCTAATCATCTCTTAAATGTCCCACCTCTTAATAACTGTTAGAACAGTGATTAGCTTTCCAACACATACATGCTTTTTGGGGGGACACTTTCAAACACAGCTCATAGTTAACATCTACTATTTGTTTTCTGTTTTAACTCAGTAATGTTTCTTGAGATGTGCCCATTTTGATACATGGAGATTGAATTCATTCCCCTTAACTGCTACATAGTACAACATTTTACTTAGCCATTTCCCTATGGATAAGCAGGAAAGGGCCTGGGGACTGTTTCTTTGAAGCTACTGAAGGACAGCACGAGGAGACTACATCTCACTCTGCTGCTGGTCGGGAGAAAGAAATCTGCTCACAGGATAGGGTGGGTGGCACTTCTTGAAAGAAGAAAGCAAGTTCAATCCCTGATACCTGCAGAACAGAGACCAAGGAAGACGGTCCAGGCCTGGACAGGGACTCCCAGTATAGAATGTAAGCCATAACCAAGTCATAACAAGTGTCTTCTCATTCTCTTCACATCAAGTTCTGGTTCTCAAAATGTCTCTGACACTGATTTCTTTCTCTTTACTCTGTCACCTTCCTAACTTAGAAATTCATCACTTCACCACTACATTAGCTTCTTGGCCTCTATCCAGTTTCTCTTCCTTCTAATCCATCCAATTTACCACTTCCAAATGAGTCCTCCAACAACTACACATAGTCAACTTTCTCTGTTAAAACCTTGAAAGGTGCCCTGTTGGGTCCTACTCATGGTTCCCTTTTTGGCCTTCCATGGCCCCTAACTTAAAAGCTTAGCTTTCTAGCCTCTTATCAAATTCTCTGTCCTTCAAGTCCCACATCTTCTGTGATTCTTCTCCAGGGCTTCGTGATCACCCACATATTCAAACATTCAACAAAGATTTAGTGAGTGCTACCAAACACCAGGCACCATGCGAAAGCCTGAGGTTCTGGCATGTACCTGTAAATAACAATGCACCAAAGGCTGTAGCTATACTGAACTATGATTTCCTTTTAATTTATCAGGGCATGCTTTGTTAAATTTCTGCCTCATGGTTATAACCAACAGTGACTTCTGGGTATTTGAAAAGCTTCAAAGTAATCCAAGAAAGCATTACACAGCTATAGGTTTTATTTATTATTATATAGAGTTGATTTGAATGTAGGAATACATGTGAGTTTTCAGTTTATTTTTAATAATTTACAAAATGAGACCTGGTGGTCACTAAAATCACTTTCAGCTCCAATGGTCTAGAATGCAAGATACTTGCAACAGAACCACTAGATGTCACTACTAACAATACAAAAGTTAAAGCAAGGGCTTGAGATCACAGGATTACTGTAAAGAACTACCAGATTTAGGAATAAAAATGTGAAAATGCTTCCATAGAGAAGCCCTGTAAAAATCCAGAGGAGTAGCTTCAAACACCTTTGTGCACATGAAGTGCCGCAGAAACAATAATTGTTAAGTACTTCCTATACCCTTCTATTAATAGAATAGCCTTCAGCAACTTACTGGTCAGCAGCATAAGGAGAATCAAGTCTTAGAATAGGAAGGAAGCTTATTTGTCCATCAGTTTTCAGATTTCTATTTTCTGGCACTAGAAATACAGTCTATGTTACAACCCAGTGCACACGTGCATGTGTGCGTGTGTGGACACACACACACACAGATTTCATATATATATAAAATATATGTGTGTGTATATATATAAAATATGTGTGTGTATATATATATATATAAATATATATATAAAACATATAGTTGAAACCAAAGTTTCACAAAACAATAATGCCCTTACTATGTGTAGTGCACTTTGATATTTTCTTTTTTATGTATTCTATTTCATTAAAAAAAAAAAAAAACTGGCTGGGCATAGCGGCTCACACCTGTGTAATCCCAGTACTTTGGGAGGCTGAGATAGGAGGATCTCTTGAGCCTAGGGGTTCAAGTACAGTCTGGGCAACATAGTGAGACCTCATCTCTACAAAAAATAAGCAAAATTAACCAGGCGTGGTGGCATGCGCCTGTAGTCCTAGCTACTCAGGAGACTGCAATGAGAGGATCCCTTGAGCCCAGGAGGTCAGGCTGGAGTGAGTCAAGATCAAGCCATTGCACTCCAGCCTAGGCAACAGAGTAAGACCTTATTTCAAAAAAAAAAAAAAAAAAAGCTTGTTACAAAACAATAAATTGATTTTACTCAATCAAATACACTTTCTTATGTTAATATATCAGAAAACAGAGGCCCAGAGAGGTGCAGTGACTTGCCCCAGGTAACTCAGTAGTCAGAATTCAAGGCTTTTCAGGACACTGGCAGGTTTTGTTTTGGAAGACCCTAGGTAAAAACTGAAGTGTCTTTGGCACAATCTCAGCCCCTGCTGTGCTCCTCAACCTTCTAAATCCTGTGGCTAAGACACTGCAGTAAAAACAAAACAAAACGAAACCTGACAAAGTGTATGGATGATTAGTTATATGCAGCAGCCATTTAAAAATACAGGTTCTTTCTTAAACGCAAATGTGATCACTTTAACTTTTCTATTTGAATCCCAGCAGTGGCTGTGGTTTTCGGGCCAAATACAAATTCTCAGTGTGACAGTAAAGACTCTTCCCGAGCTGGCCCCAGTCCTGCTCTAGCCAGCTTGATTCTTCACCACTTCCCTACAAGCACCTTCAAGATTCTTCCTTCACTCTTGACCTGGCTAAGTCATAAGGTTTTCGAGACTCCACTCACATTCCTCTTCTGCAAAGCCTTCCTTGGCATGTGCTTGCCCACAGCATGCAGCCTACTGTTCCTGAAGCTTCCTCTTGTGTGTCCTCTCCACTGGACTATGGCATTCTTATGTCTCCCCATTTGCTATCTGTGGCACCTGGCCTAGGATTCAGTATGTAAGAGGAAATCTGCTTAAGTGAATATTTTCATATTCTCATTCTTAAATTTTAACCCTAAAAAAACCTCACTGGAATATCTCTGGATTATGTAAGAGCTGATTTTGACATTGCAGAGCTCTATTTCCTAATATTTTGGGAGTATGAATAAAAACCACTATACCTATCATAGGAGAAATACATGCAAAAACCCAGTTCTGGCCTTTTTTCTCTTGATTTTAATAAGCCTTTGTTGGGGGGAAGGGGAATTTTGTTTTTTTAACCTCTAGCTCGTAGGCTAGTACCTGCTGAGCAACACAGCCTCTGCTCCCCTCACTGCTCCCTCCACTGGTCCCTCAAAGAGTTTTCCCACCTCTCAAATTCCCAACCCAAGAGCCTTTCTACTTAGGTGGCACACACAGACATTCTTCTGTGTATGCTGCAACACAGCAAATCAAGGACAGTGGCCAACACCTGAAATGACTTAATTAATACTTATCAAGTTGGGGAGAAATTAGAGCGGAAGAGAGGCAGCTAAAAGCTCATAGTGACTAAGGATGGTGAGTAATGAAGGGAGCACTGATTGGGGTCTGTGGTGGTCAGAGGTGGCTTTGTGACAGTGAATCACCAACACCAGGGTGGGAATTGGGTAGACCTGTGGGGAAGGAAGCACTTCCAGGTGGGCACCAGCATAAGCAACAGTCAGCTAAGGGTGTGAAGGAAAAGACTCCCCAGATCAGAGAGCGCTTGGCACTGGGGAGGGCTCAGACATACAATGAGGTGGAGAGGAGTAGGGATGCTAGTGTCGCTGAAGGAGCAGGTCATTATCCACTGTCACCCCTCACTCCATGTCTCACTGCCTTGGTTAAAGCACATTCAGTTTTATGTATCATTTTGATCTTCTCTATGCCCTTGTCAGGTAAGCAGCATAGATACTGTGGGCTTTATTTTTCAGAAATAGTTTAAGAAGGAAATAAGAAAATTGGCCCAAGTCACACAGCTAGCAGTTAACCAGCCTCACAGTTTAGATCTCTGGACTTCTATTTCACAGACCTAAAAATTCACGGTTGTCGCAAAAGACACATAGCTGAATTTCCCTATTTTACAAATAAAGAAACTGAGGACCACAGAGGTGAAGAAATTTTTCCAAGGTCACACAGAAGCAGAATTTAGGAGGTGAGCTGGAAGCGACTTTACCCAGCCTTATTTCTGATAGATGTTGTACATTATTTGAGGAAGCAGGGAGAAAAAATCCTCATATTGCCGAGAAAGAACAGTTACTTCAACAAAACCAAATATCTTCTAATGTTTAATAACTGTCAGGATAACATTCTGTTAGCATAACTGCATTTATAAAAATGGAAATTGTTATCAACCAAAAATTAGAAGTTTTTTAAGTGAAAAAAATTCTAGAAAGAAATCAAGCTGCTTGAGGAGATGGATCTATCTGGGAAGAAAGGCCTCCCCAGTCTACAGGAGCTCCTTGGAACTTTTTTCTGCCACTGATGAATTTTTAGGTCTTTGTTGATCAGAGAAAAAGTTGTATTTTTAACTTTTTTTAAAAAAAACTAAACATTGGCTCCAAACTGATAGACTCTCATCTCAGAATCTGTTAGCAAAGGATAACTAATGTTTGCAGACAAGAACACCATTCAGATGACACATTATTATAATTTATTTTACACTAGAAATGACATGGCTTGAGAAATGACTTGCTGAGAAATCTGTGTTTACATTAGGGAGATTGGGGGGAAAATCCCTCACAGAAGTTGAAAACATGCTAAGTGGTAAATACCAAAATGCCCAGCAAGCATTTAAGCCGGCTCTCATCCTAGCATGAATATGGGCAGCTCAGCATTTTAAAATTTACTTTTAGCTTTTCTAGCAGTTTGAATTAACCCTTTCTCTACTTCCACTTTCTCTGTGAGAGTTCAGCTCTTAATCTGCAGACGTGGACTGAGGGTGCTGTCACGGTGCTCGGTGATCCACTGGTGAATGATGTCCTCACCTGAAGCAGTTTCCTACAAGTGGGCTGCCTTGTGTACATGTCTCCTAAGCTTCCTTACTATCCATGTAAGGCCTAGACAAACATTAGGAAGCAAGTTCAGCTTGTATGGATTGGAAAAGGCCTGTCAGTAGAGCAAAACAATACAAATCAATGTCACAATAAAGGTATATCCAGACCAGAGGTTCTCCAGAGCAGAATCACCCCCAGAGAGACTGTGTCAGGTGGCCCCAGCATCTGTAGCTGTAAACGATCCTCAGGTGATTTTAAGTATATCCCTCATTCAAAGACACACTAATCTAGACTCTCTAAAAAGCCAATGACATTTTAATCTTCGTTTCAGCTCCTAGCAAATGAAAGCAAAAAACAAAACAAGCAACCAAAAAAAAAATTGTTCCAGGTTAGGTTTATCTTAATACTTAACTGGCTATGAAACTTATTTACAGCCTTAGTGAATACCAATTATATACAAGAAAGGTGAGCATTTAATGAATATTCGTATAATACTTTACAATATCTTATCATGCATTAATGATCTCATGTGGTTCTCACAGCAACCCTATGAGGTAGCTTGTTAGTTTCAAATTAAAGATGAGGAAAATAAGTCTCAGGGACATGAAGACTCGCTCAAGAGCCCTCAAAGAGTACAGCAGAGCAGCTGTGGGGTTGAGAAGCAGAGGGGTAAAATGACCATTGTTTTATTACTATAGGTCAAAAAGAAATTTTAATGTTTAAATATCTCCTATAGCTTTTTAGAAAACTTCTAATTACTATGCCACACTTTGCTGGTAAAACATATTATCTCACAGTAAAATATTGTGTTTTTTCTTTGTTTTACAACTATCTACACAAACACCCACACATACACACACACACACACACACACTCACACTCACTCTCTCTCTCTCTTTTGGAGTAAAACAGAAATAATCTATTGTTCCTGAGTTTGATTGTGGGAAAATCACTTAAGATAGGTCATGTTTATAACACCAGTTTCAGGGACAGGTAAATCCAGTAATTTAATTTTTATATATCTTACATTAAAATGAACACACAAATACATTTCTCCCTCAATCTCCATGTCAGACAAATGGAAGTGAAGTACTTGGCCTAGAAAAGAATAACCTGCAAGTGCCCTAATAATGTTGGTATTCCTAGTATTAATAAGTTAGATTTGTTTTTTTGCTATTTATAGTGATGTGTCTTTTTTTTTTTTTTTTTTTCCCCGAGACAGTGTCTGGCTCTGTCACCCAGGCTGGACTGCAGTGGCACAGTCTCAGCTCACTGCAACCTCTGCCTCCTGGGTTAAAGCCAACCTCCCACCTCAGCCTCCTGGGGAGCTGGGACTACAGGAACACACCACCATAAACAGGCAAATTTTTGTATTTTTTTGTACCGACAGGGTTTCACCATGTTGCCCAGGCTGGTCTCGAACTCCCAGGATCAAGTGATGCTCCCACCTTGGCCTCCCAAAGTGCTTGGATTACAGGTGTGAGCCACCATGCCTGGCCATGATGTATCCCTTTGAAGTGTTTCTTCTAAACATTCAGCCTATCAAACACCAGTTGCTGTAGACATTTGTGTCCAAGGGAAAAATAATCCATGTCACATCTTGGTGAGATGAAATATTCCATGGTATCAGTCCTATTAAAGCCAGGGCTGGCCAGGTAAACTCTTGGCATTCTTCGTGCCGCAATTCCTAAACTCAATAGAAGAATCTGAAGAACATAAAACAAAAGCCAAGAGAATAAAAGAAAAATAACTGAGCAGTAAAGACTTATTTAAGAATATCAGTACTAAAATAAAACTATCCATTCCTGTCACTGAGTGCATGCTACTTACAGCAAAGTAAAATATTTCCTGAATTGGTGGCCCCCAACCTTTTTGGCACCAGGCACCAGTTTCAGGGAAAACCATTTTCACAGACCGAATGGGAGATGGTTTCAGGATGAAACTGTTCCACCTCAGATCATCAGGCATTGGTTAGAATCTCATAAGGAGCGCGCAACCTAGGTCCCTCAGATGCGCAGTTCACAATAGGGTTCACATTCCTATGCAGATCCAATGCTGCAGCTGATCTGATAGGAGGAAGAGCTCAGGTGGTAATGCTCGCTTGCTTGCCCACCCAGCTGCCGCTCACCTCCTGCTGTGAGGCCTGGTTCCGGTCCATGGCCTGGGATTTGGGGATCCCTGTCCTAAATAACTTGGTAGGGGACTGATTGGAAAACTAAAAATTAAGTCAGGGTTTGCCCACTAAAGATGAAAGCAAATTTTGCATTTGGTGGGATGAGTCTAAATGCAATGGAGACATTGATCTTTGTAACGGCAAAACATTAAATCCAGGCTTTTCTTTTACCTTGTTAAGGGACATTTCGTTCATCCTGAGACGTTGCTTTGGCATAACTCAGAGGTAGATTCAGCCCAACAACTGGCCCTACAATGCTCAGCCATGATGTGATATAGTTGACATTCCTAGGAAACAAGTGAAATACAGGCCATGCTAACGTTTCCATTGTAGTTTTTGGATGAATGGTAGAACATCAGTTGGTCACCAACAATAACAAAAGTGAGGCTTTCTTCAAAGATTTGTACCTACCACCTGGAATCTCAGCATTTCTGAATGCCAGCCCCATTGCTTGACAAGAATTTAAGGTCCAGAGAGCCTGTAAGGATCCCTCATTAGGGTAGTTGAAGAATGAGGTAAGGTACTGGCTCCTGACTTCCCTTGATGATTCAAATTTTACCCTTACAGTTTACAGCACTTACTAAGGTAGCAGAGTGCAGTGATTAAGAGCATGGTTCTGAGGCCAAAATGCTTAGATTCAAATCCCACCACTTAACTAGCTGTGTGACCTTGTTTGAGTGGCTTAACTCCTCTGTTCTGTAACTTCCTCCTCTGTAAATTGGGCAAAATAATAGTACTTAGCACATAGGAATGCTGCAAAAATCCAATGTCTTACTGTATCTAAAACTCTTAGAACAGCATCTAGCATATCCTAAAAATCATTGTGTTAGCCATTATTATTATTAATATTTCTTTTTTAGCCTAGCATTTAGAGTCACATAAAAAGATTTACACTTTTAAAATCAGAGTAGAAGCCAATGTATCTTGATGGTGTTTCTTACTTATTGATTTTCTGAGAATTCTTTAATACAGGAGTCATGAATTCATTCGTCTTGCAGGGATGAAGTACAAAAAAGGGTTGCCCAAGTATTGGATGTTCCTGTAAGAATCAGAATTGGTCCAGGATCAGTGTGAGTTACTTTGAAAAGGCTAAAATAATTTATCTGGTTTACTCCTTTAAAATAAAGGTTTGTCTCAAATTCCAAGTTATTGAATTAATATACAGGTTTATTTTCTATTTTTAAAAACAATTTATAATCCAAACATCAGAAGAAGTTGGTGAGAAAGGACTATTCATTGATAAAGCAGTATGGTCGAGTATAGCAGGGCACCCATTTTTGTTTACACAATATAAACTGTAGTTGCATTTTATCAGTTCCCTCTCTGTTGGCCAGTGTTTCTCTTTGGCCTATCATTATTCTTCAGTTTTTCTTCAAGGATGTTCACAAAGCTCAGTAGTTTGACAACCTAAACAATTCATTTTATTCACCTCTTTGTCAATGGTAAGAGACTCAAAATCATTTGCATATTTCTTTACACAAATTTTGTCAACATGTTGTTTCAAGCCTACATGTATCCAGTGCCAGTGGGCACATGTTCCACGAGTAGAACCAGGGATGGGAGGAGATGGCCTGCACTATTTAAATTGTTCTACTTCTGTTTGTCTCTCTCTCTCTTTCCGTCTCTGAGTTTTTGTTTTTCTTTTTCCTCATTTCTCTCCTTCTGTCTCTCCCAAGCCTACAGGGCTGTTTTTATAAGTTAAAAGCCTGAAATGTAACTCTGTTTCTTTTATAAGGTAGTAATTGGATATAAGATATAGGTCAGACCATACCCAAGTTAGGGACGTGGACATCATTTGGCAAGCAATGGGGAGCCCTAGGAGGTTTCTATGTAGTGGGTAATCTGTGCACAAGTTCTACCAACAAAAACACTATTATTGATGATACATTTATTGATTATTTGTATTGTGGATTAACCATTATACCAACACTGCAAACTCAAATACCTATGAAGACAAAGCAGGTGACCTAAGGGGATAATGCCAGCTAAATACACCAGCAGATGACGGGGCCCGTGAGAAACTGCCGAGTGCACCCATCCAAGGCCATGCTGGCTACTCTGCTCCAGCCAACTGTCCCATGTGGGAATGCAGGTTCAGCATGCCAGACCTCCCTATTTGTGAAACTAACCTAGAAAAGCTGAAGTTTATGTTAAACCTCCTACATTTAAGTGTTGGCATAATTTATTTTTAAACATGGAGTGGGACAAGTAAAACAGGCTTGTAGGCTGGATTTAGACTAGGGGATGCCTAGTTTCTTCTCTTGGCTTCTTCTCTCAGCCAACCCAAGGGGAAGCTGAACTCAGAGCTGTTGATGGGATGAATTATGTGGCTGTCCTTGCTGCCTCTACCCCTCAGCTCCAAACATTCATGTCTGTATGCTTATGCACATATCCACTCACAAGAACTGGAAGGGACAATTCCTCTTGTATTGGTGACACTGGGTATGGAGATTTGGGGTGGTGGTGGTGAGGGATGAGTTATCCACTAGTGATAGGTTATTGCATGTATCTGGCATTTTTAGCACCACCTGGCATTTGTTTCTCCCTGAGTGCCATCTCCAGGTGACTCTGACCAGTCGCCTGATTCTTCCAGCAAGGCATCAGCTTCCTCTCTACAGCTCTCTTCCCAACCTTCATTCCCATCCCTAACTGGGCCCTGGGCTCAAAGCCCTGATGTGTTGGGCCTATGCCAAGTCCTCCTGTCCAACTTGAATCTGGTTTCCCTTACCTGCCTTAAACTAATATTTAGCAATTCAACATATATTAATCAATCATCTTTTTTATGTGTCTGCCAGAATACTTCTAGCTATAGTTATAGAGACCACTGCATCTCTTAGATAAACAATGTTCCTGATCCCATGGAACTTAGATTTCAGTGCAGGAGACAGCCAATAAACACACAGAACGAATAAATAAGATAATCCAGATAATTATAAGCCCTACAAAGGAAACACAACAGGGTAACATGATTCTGGAGGGATTGTGGTGACATTAGACTTGGAAAGGGAAGGCCTGAAGGAAGAGGTAATACAATGGACTGAATGTGTGTATCCCTCTTAGGGTTACACCCTAAGAGGTGTAACTCTCACTCTTTTCCTATCATGTGGGGATACAGTGAGAAGATGGCATCTATGAAATAGGAAACGGGTCCTCACCAGACACTGGATCTTCCAGTGCCCTCATCCTGGATCCTGTAGCCTTCAGAACTGGGAGAAATAAGTGTTGGTTCTTGAGCCACCCAGTCTATGGTATTTTTGTTATGACAGCCTAAATGGACTAAAATAAGGTGAAACTTAATCAAAGATCAGAACGACAAGGAAAAAAACAACCATGCAGAGATTTGGGAACAGAATGTGGGGGCAGATGACCCTATGGGGGAAATGAGCATAGAAAATATGCAGGAAAAATGCAAAAAAATTTAGAATTATCCTGGACTAAAACAATGACTGTTTAGAAAGCTGGGATTTAAAAAAGATAAATGTAGTCTAAATTCTTTTGGGATGACTTACATAGTTGCCAATGGAAGGAATAAAGAGGTATAATCCAATCTTATTGATGTAAAGTACATGTTGACTTTAATGAAATGAAACCTACAGTTACAAATTTCCACTAGACGGAAACACTCCTAATAGGGAGGATCAGTTCAATCACGCAGCCTCCACTCTCTCCAAGACTCACTTTCCCTTTGGCATCTCTTTCTTATCTAAGAGGTGGATAGGCACTTACAGTTCAGGGGACCATTTTCTTAGAGGAGTCTTAGGACCATGGCACACTGCAGCTCTGCTCATTTGATGCTGCTTTGTAAAGACATGGACTTTACTTCTATAAGTCATCTTTTTTTCATTCCACATAGCAAGTGGGTAAGCACATGCATGAGCTCTATGGTTAAGACTGTTTGAGATCAAGTCCTGCTCTACCACTTGGTAGCTGTGAGCTATTGGGAAAGTCACTTAACCATTTTACGTCTCTGTTTCCTCATCTGGTAACTGTGGCTAATGATAGTATCTGTCTCAGAGATTGACTGTGACCCTTCAATGAGATAATACCACAGAAGTACATAGAACAGTACCTGACACATAGCAGACACTTAGTTGGCTATTAGTATTTAACCCATTAATATCTAAACAGAAAAGAATAACAGCCAGACATTCAGAAAGTAGTCTTATGGTACCCTATAATAAAGCCAAATTTCAATCTAAAAATAGGACGTTCCTGTAAATTAAGTAGCATATTAAAAGCATCACTGACCAGTATCTAAGTGTTTAGGAATATTTGACAACTGTTTATAAGTGAAAGGAAGAAAGGTCTGAATTAGTAAAAGGTCTAGGTCTATATGGCAACTAGAACTATCACTATATTTGTATTCAGGTTTAAAACCAAATTAATGAAAAATAATTTAAATGAATTTAAATTAAAATAAAAGTTTAGGTACTTCAAAAACACTTCAGTAATCTACAACATTTTAATATTCATTTTTCCTCAAAGAACATAAAACAGTCATATTAGCATTTAAGGTTATGTTCTAATAGAATAAAATGCATGGCAATGTCATTTAAAACACTTTTTAAAATAATTGAGACTTTCATGCCTTTGAAGAGCTTTTAGAATAGCTTAAGCATTTCTTTAATGCAGGTTTGGCCATCTTTAAAAAATTCTTTATCCTTTACTATACTGAGACCTTATATTTATATAATTAAATAGAATATATTAAAATGAATGATGGTCTTTAAAAATTAAAAGTTTAAATTTATTAATAAATTGGATTTTAAAATAAAAATTATATTGTTTTGGCAAAATGCTTTTGGTTCAAAAGAATCAAGCCTATAATATGCTGATCAGCTTAAAATAGGAATTATAAGATATGTAATCTTTTAGAAGAATTTTATAAATTAATAACAACAGAAGTGGACTTCCAGCTGTGATAGAATAAAGAGGTCAGCAAATCCTCTCCCCAGAAATTAAATATAAAAATGAACAAAATTGTCAAAAACTAACCATTTTTGGGTCCTGGAAATCAACCAAGGGCAAATATAAAATCTGAGACGTGTTTAGTTCATGATAATCTGCTAAACTTCAAGTTAGAAACAGAGGGAATCTGAAGCCTTCTTGCCTGGAAGTACTTCCATATCCCCTCCTCCTCTTCCCCAATGTCCCCAGACACTCCATCAACAGAAGTTTTACCAGAGCAATCTGGCCATAAGAGCCAATAACTGTGTAGCCAGAGGGGCTGGCCTGATTTCCAACAGATAGCTAAAACTATTGCTCAGCAGCACTGTCAATAAAAATAGCAAAATAGGTACTAAATGAAAAGAAAAAAGCTGCAGCTCTGCTAGCCAGAGGTTGCAGTCCCAGTTGAGGCAAGCAGCAAACTACCAGTAATTTAATGGGGACATTCTGGAAATAAGACAGCCACAGAAGGGGTAGATAAGTTCTCCAGGCATCACTAGCTGATGGGAAGGGGATGTTCAGTGGAGTCACAAGAAGGCCTGATAGGAAGTAAGAGCTAAGGCCAATATGAATACTACTTGAGTTTTTAGCGTGTTCCCAATCCACGTACACATCCATTGGCAAAAGAAAAAAGCATTATAGGCTTGAGGTATTTGAGCATAATTTCTGTCCAATCATTGGCCAACCTGCAAGCTTTACAGACATAGCTGGATAACCCTGAGGAAGGCAGTCTAAAAAATAAAAATAAGAATTAAAAAACCAGTAGCAAAGACATCAGTGGCCACACTTACAGGGAAAAAAAATCTGCAGATAAAGCCTAGGAAAATTACTAAACCAAACAAAAACAACAGCAACAACAAGAAAAAGACAACCCTCAGGAAAAAATATTGGAATCCAGAATTGCTGCAATATATTATCTAAAATGTCTAGTTTTCAAAGGAATTTATGTGACATGCAAAGAAACCAAAAAGTGTGGTTCATACCAGGGGGAAAATTCATTATTAAAAACTGACTCTGAGTGTAGACTCACATGTTGGATTTACAAATAATTCAAAGCAGCTATTATAAATATGTTCAGTGAATTAAAGAAAACTAGAATTAAAACAGAAAAATTATGACAATGGCTCTGCAAATAGCTAATCTCAAGAGAGGAATACAAACTATAAAAAGAACTAAATAGAAATTCTAGAGTTGAAAAGTACAATACCAGAAATAAAAAATTCACTAGATGGACTCAATAGTAAATATGAGACAGCAGTAGAAAGAATTAGTGGATTTGAAAGTATATTAATAGAAAGTATTCAATGTGAAGAAAAGAGAAAAAAAATTGAAGAAAAATGAGCCTTAGACATCTGTGGGATAACATCAACTGTACCAGAATACAGATAATCGCAATCTGAAAAAGAGAAGGAGAGAAAAGGGCAGGCAAAATAGCTGAAGAAATATTGGCTAAAAATTTCAAACTTTGATGAAATACATTAATCTACAGATCCCAGAAGCTCAACAAACTCTAAGGAGAAATATAAAAAAACCCACACCTAGACACATCATAGTCCAATAGCTGACAGCCAAAGACAAGGAGAAAATCTTAAAAACAGCAAGAGAGTCCTTTAGGACTCATCACATAAAGAGGAATAACAATTCAAAAACAGCTGACTTCTTATCAGTCCAGATAGGAGCAGAATGACATATTCAGAGTAATGAGGGAAAAAACCTTAACTGTCAACCAAGAATTACTACATTCTTCAGAAATGAAAGTAATATAAATATATTCCCAGGGAAACAGACTGAGAGAATTCCTTGCTAGCAGATTTGCCTTATAAGATATACTAAAAAAAGTCCTTCAGGAAATAATACCAGAGTGTAACTCAAATCTACAGGGAAAAATGAAAAGTGTCATAAATGGTGAATAAAAAAGACTAAGTACTTTCTCTTTTCTTAATTTTTTAAAAAAGACATAAGATTATATAAGCAAAAATCATGAACACTCTAGTGTTGAGTTTATAACATAAATGTAACATACATGACAATAATGGTACAAAGGAAGGGGAAAGAAATGAAAGCATATTGAACAAAGTTGCTGTATTTTATTTTTTAAATAATTTTTTTTCTTTTTTTCTTTTTTTTTTTTTAAGAGATAAAGTCTCACTATGTTGCCAGACTAGTCTTGAACTCTGAACTCATCGATCCTTCCACCTTAATCTCCCAAAGTGCTGGGATTATAGGCATAAGCCCCCGTACCTGGCCCAAAGTTGCTATCTTTTAGCAGAATTAAGTCAGATTGGCCGAGCATGGTGGCTCACACCTGTAATCCCAGCACTTTGGGAGGCTGAGGTAGGCAGATCACTTGAGGCCAGGAGTTCAAGACCAGCCTGGCTAACATGGCAAAAACCTGTCTCTACTAAAAGTACAAAAATTAGCTGGGTGTGGTGGCAGGCGCCTGTAGTCCCAGATACTTGGGAGGCTGAGGCAGGAGAATCGCTTGAACCCAGAAGGCAGAGGTAGCAGTAAGTGGAGATTGTGCCACTGCACTCAGCCTGGGCAACAGAGTAAGACTCTGTTTCAAAAAAAAAAAAAAAAAAGGTCAGTATTAAGTTGTGCCTCTGTTGTTAGAATATTAGTAAGCATGTTTTTGAGAGCATGTGAAACCCAAAAGCTTTTTCTTGTTGTGAAGCAAATCCTTTAAGTATGTTGTTAATCATGAGCACTCTTCTAGCAATGTGTCAGAAGCATCCATAATTAATTTACACGGTTAAATTGTACATGCTTCAACACTCAATGCTTTCTAAAATGTATCAGTTTCTTTTAGTTGTGGCGAAATTAGCCAAATCATTAATTACTTTTCAAACACAAATGGAAAATTAATTTTTAGAATATTCTAAATAAATCCTTGTTTCTAAATATATAGGACTACTGAATATAAACCCTTGAGTTATGAAGAATGCAATAATGATCATATGATATAGAAAAATAACAAGTTTCCTTTATGTGACTAGAATTCATATATTATATCATTCACTCATTTATCAAACATTAAATCTTCTGATAATTTTAAATTGATTTAAGCCTAAATCAAGGCAATAGGTCTGTAAGTGAAAAATGTGGTTAATCTTGTGGAGATCTTAATGCCACAGAAATCACAGAATTCAAAGTTAGCATAGTAACCTGAGCCAATACTATTTTTTCAGTCACATTCAATCAGCTGATTCTGCAAGCCCAGCAATTTGTATTCACGGAAAGTAGAGTAGAGAATTTACAAGTAATTTGAGGCATGTTAACGGTGCAGACAATCAATGTGGATAATATTCTCCAAAAGCCATTATTTTCCAATGGAGATTTTGTAAGGCTTATGCTATCAAGAAAGATTATCTGTATTTTCTACCGTTTTTCCTTCAGACAGCCAGAATCAAAGATGAAAGCAGTCATTAGTTGGTTTAGGAATTATGTGTTAGAGTTTTTTAAAAAATCTAAACTCTACTCCTTATTTGTTTAACGTACCCTTTTCAGAGATGGAAGAACATCAAAACTATTGGGATCCTTTTAGTGACATTTCTTAGATCGATTCAGGAGGTAAATTCATGTGAAAGTGCTACCATCTGCTGTCAGTAGTAATGAACTGAGCAAATCTGCACTGAGAAAAATGTCCGTGTGGAAATGCACACAGGCAATGAACTGTGTTAGGCTTACAACTTAATAAACACTTCTACTGGAACAAAGTTCTGCTAAATGGTTTTCCATGAAAATAGAAATGATGGGTCAGATTTCTATCTCTGTAACTCCAGAGAAGTTATATAGGCATATTTCCTCATGAAATTTAATTTAGCAATGGTTAAATGTCTCATAAAATAAGTCTGACAAGAATACTGTGAATTGGTTTTAGAACTATTAGATATGACTATCACAAGGAAATGATAATACTGCACCTTCATTCTTACATGTAATAAATATGATGAGTTACTTGGTTCATTTCTTAATTTTCTTGGTTCTTTGGGAGGGCACAAATGTAATTTCACATATTAAGCTTTCATCCAGTTTCATATTCCAGACTGATCAAATTTGCCTTCCACGCTGGGCACATTCCTTAGAAATGGAGACAGGTATCTCCCTCATGCTAACCCCTCAAGCAGGGGAAGGAAAATGACTACCCAGCATCTGCAGTATCAGGCACCGTATTAAGCGCTTTACATGGCCACCTACCACAGTAACTCTTTGAGACAGGCTTTATTATTGCCACTTAAAAGAACAGGCTTAGAGAGATTATGCTTAAGGTCATCCATGTAGTGAGGGGCAGAGCACCTCCATATCTCCTAAGACCACACACTTACACTGCACCTCCTCATGCCCTCTGACCAGAACTGGTGTCTAAGATAGTTCCTGACTTCCAACCTCTAGTCTACTCCTTCAAAAATCTATTTATTGATTTTAAAATCATGTGTTTTCATAAAATTATAAGAGCAATACACACAGGGAGTTCAGACAATACCAAGAATAAAGAATAAAAGCGAGCTAATCCCAAACAGCCCAACTCAGATTTAATCACTGGTGAATTTCCTTTCAGACCTTTTTATACACACATTTATACTTTCAGTTGCTTGTTATTCACTGAACAGATATTTAATTGTTGGCCCTACTATGTGATAGTCCCTACCATATGTGTCTTTTGTTGATCCTCTTTAGGTATCTTTGTCCTCTGTTTTACTAATTTCTGCATTTACCTTTATTATTTGCTTCCATATATTTTTGTTTGGGCTTATTTTGTTTTTCTTAATTTTTTATATTTCCATAAGTACTTAAAAGGCTATACATAAAGTATATGTAATCTTCAGTGTTGGCTACACTGTTCTACATGTTTCATTAGATTAAGCTAGTTATTTGTGTTGTCCATATGTATATCCTGGTTTGCTTGACTTATTAATTTCTAAGAGAAATTTAAATCTCCCCTATAACAGTTGATTTGTCCATTATTGTTTGTCAATTGCAGTTTGTCAGTTTTTGCTTTATATATCCGGAAGCTGTGATATTTAAATGCATAGAAGTATATCTTCTTAGAGAACTGAAACTTTAATATGAAGTGATGGTGTTTATCACTAATATGCTTTCTGCCAAAAAAGGATTCTTACCTGATATTAATATAGCCACATCAGCTTTCTATTTATATTATTCATTTAAAAAAATTGTTTGACTTCTTGCTTTCTGCATCCTTATATTTAAGATATTTTCTATAAAAAGAACATAGACGGATTTTTAAATATCCACCTTTACAATCTGTCTCATAAGTGGGGTGTTTAGTTCACATACAGGCTTTGTGATTACTGATATAATTTGATTTCACTTTTTTTCCATCTTATTGTAGACATTTTACTCATTCTATTTTTAATGTTTCTTCCTTTCCTTTTCTTTTTTCCTCTTCTGTTTCCTTCTTTTGGATTGACTAAGCGTAGGATTAAAAATTTTTTCTCACTGCTTTTTCTCTTTTTATTAGCTTGAAAAATTACATACTATTAATACATTCCTAAACATTTAGTGGTTATTCTTAAATTTTAAAATAGCTATTTCACTTAATAAAATGTACAATTATTCTGTATCTTTATCTTTTTCCCAAACAATTCAAGTATCTTAATACTCTGATCACCCTTTACTGATTTATGTACTACTGTTGTCTAGTATTTCCGCTGTATCTATTTTTTAACCCCAGAAAGTAGGTATTATTAGTACTTTATAGCTCAATGTTTGTTAAAATTTACCCACATTTTACTATTCTTTTTGCTTACCATTTTTCCCTATGTGTCAGCATTCATTCTGGGATAATATTCTTTGTCACTGAAATATGTCCTTCTGAACACCTCTTGGTGAAGATCTGTAGGTAGTAAATTGTCCAATCCTGTGAATGCTTTATATTGCCCTCATTTTTGAAAAATAGGTTTTTGTAGGTATAAAATTCTAGGTTACAATGATTTTTTTTAGCACTTGGATTATATTATCCCATTTTCTTCTGGCTTCCATTTATTCTGGGTAGAAGTCGACTATCAGTCTAATTGTCATTCGCTTTAAGATCTTCTCTTTCTCTCTACTATTTCATTGTAATGTGCATAGGTGTGGATTTCTTTTCATTTTTCACTGGGGGATTCAATGAGCTTCCTGAACCTAAATATCAGTGCCTTTTCAACAATTCTGGAAAATTCTCAGCATCAGCTCTTTGAATATTGCCTCTCCTTCATTCTCTCTAGCCTCTCCTCCTGGAACTCTTATTAGACATGTTAGTCCTCCTCTATCCTTTGTCTTTCTTAACCTGTTATCATATTTACTATTTCTTTCTTGTTTTTTGCTACAATATATACAATTCTTCAGATTCTTCTCATACATTAATGCTCTCTTTAACTGTATTTATGTGCTTTTTAGAATAGACATTATATACTTTTCTAAAAGATCTGATTATTTCTTAAATTTGCTGATCATTTTCCATAGTCGTCTTCCTATGTCATACTTTCAATATTTTTATCCATTTTTAAAAATATGTTCAATATATTTATATTTTTGCACTGAATAATTTCAGTATCTGGATTTGTGGGTCTGCTACTAGTCTGTGGTCTGCTGGCCCTCATTCATAATGGCTCGTTATGAATTCTGTATTTTTTTTATTGTGACCTTTTAGTAGGACTACAAATATGGTAATTCTTTGAGGCTTAACATTAAAAGTGCATCCCACCAAAGAAGTTTATATATGCTTCTGCCTGGTACCTAGGAGGAGTTCCAATTCCATGACCTGAGGGTAAGCCTGTGTTTAGAAATTTTCTGGGGAGGTTTTTTTTTCTTTTTTTATCTGTTTTGTACATAGTAAGGTAAAGAGAGTCAAATGGAGGAGAGAGAAAAAAAATTTTAATATATAGAGAATGATGGGGGAGAGGCTATTTTAGGTAAATTGGTAAGGGAAGGCCTAATTGCAGAGGTAACAGTTGAGCAGACCCCTGACCAAGAGAGGAGCAAGCCATGCACTTCTTTGGGAAAAGAGTATTTCCACCTTGAGAACACCAGCTGCAAAGATCCTAAAACCCTAGGGCAGAAGGGGGCTTGGAATGTTCAAAGAATGACAAGACCAGTGTGGTTGGTCAGGTGAAATGAAGAGGAATGACAGTGGAAGTAAGACCAGAGAGCTAGCCAAGACGCAGGATCATGTAGCATCTCATAATGCATGGAAAGGACTTGGGATTTTATTCTGAGTGTGATGGGGAGAGTTTGGAAGATTCTGAACAAAAAAGTGATACATTCTGATTTACATTTTAAAATGTTACCTTGATATTGTAAAAGGGCAAGAGGGAAAGCAGAAAGAGCAGTTAGGAGGTTACTGTAGTAGCCCAGACAAAATATAATGATGACTTGTAAAAGGCAACAGTAGTGTGCGGAAGAACAGTCAGATTTGGATTTATTTTGAAGGTAGAGCCAACAAGATTTGCTAAAGGATTTGATATGCTGTGTAAGAAAAAGAGAAGAGCCAAGGATGACACTAAGGTGGAATGCTTTTTCACATTTTCTTGACTATTTGTCTATTCGGGTTTTATGGAGATTTTCTTATCAATTTATATTAGCTACTTAACATCTTTTGGGATATTGATCTTTTTCATTCATTCAGCCATCAATGTGGGCTATGCACTGGGTTAAATGTTAGTTATATCACAATGAATAAACAGATAACCTCTGCTGTCATGAAAGTTGCTGAAATACTCCAATTTTTTTTTTCTTTCCAGATTGTTATTTGTGTTTAAATTTTGTTCATGATGACTTGGCAATGTGGAATATAATGTTAGATAATTAAATCTATAACTTTTCTCCTTTGTTATTTCCTTTTGTAAAAGTTTTATGGATATATAATAGTTGTACATATTTATGGGGTGCCTGTGATATTTTGATACAAACATACAATGTGTAATGGTCAGTCTGAGTAACTGGTATAGCCATCATCTTAAACCTTTATCATTTCTTTATGTTGGGAACATTCCAAATCTACTCTTCCAGTTATTTTGAACTATCCAATAAATTATTTCTTAAGTCACCCTATTGTTCTAACAAACATTAGATCTTACTCCATCTATCTATTTTTATACCCATTAACCAGCCCCTCTTTATCTGCCCTCCTCACTATCCTTCCCAGCCTCTAGTAACCACCACTATATTCACTTCCTCCATGAGATCAATTATTTTAACTTCCTCGTATGAGTGAGAACATGCAACATTTGTCTTTCTGTGCTTGGCTTATTTCAGTTAACATGATGTCCTCCAGTTCCATCCATGTTATTGCAAATGACAGATTTTATCTCTTTAATGGCTGAATAATATTCTATTGTGTATACATACCACATATTCTTTATCCATTCTCTTTATGGACACTTAGGTTGATTTTCTATCTTGACTATTGTGAATAGTGCTGCAATAAACATAGGAGTGCAGATATCTCTTTCACATGCTGATTTCCTTTCTTTTGGATATATACCCAGCAATAGAATTGCTGGATCATATGGCATTTCTATTTTTAGTTTTTTTAGGAGCCTCAATATTGTTCTCCATAGTGGCTGTGCTAACTTACATTCCCACCAACAGTGTATGAACATTCCCCTTTCTCTACATCCTTGCCAGCATTTGCTATTTTCTATCTTTTTGATAATAGCCATTTTAACTGGAGTGAGACGATATTTCATTGTGGTTTTGATTTGTATTTCCCTGAGGATTAGTGATGTTGGGCAATTTTTTCATATATCTTTTAGCCATTTGTATGTCTTCTTTTTAAAAATGTCTATTCAGATCTTTTACCCATTTTTTAAATTGGATTATTTGGGGGTTTTTTTGGTATTGGCTTGAGTTCCTTATATATTCTGATTATTAATCACTTGTCAATTGAAGAGTTTGCAAATATTTTCTCCCATTCTGTAGGATATCTCTTCACTTTGTTGATCTTTCCTTTGCTGTGCAGAAGCTTTTGACCCAATATTTATATACAGTTTACCATTAAACTACTTGGTGTTCCCCAAACACACTGCTTCTTCTTACCTACAGGCCTTTGCACATGCTGTTCTCTCTGCCTGGAACATCCTCTCTCCCTCCTTCACCACTAATCCCTGACCAATCAGGTCTCCTCCATCTATGTTCCCACTGTACCCCATGCCTAAGTCTACTGCTAATTCCACACTGTTCCATATAGGCAACTGACTGTTTATAAAAGTCTTCCTCTACTACTCTTTAATTCCTTGAGGGCACAGGAAGTATTCTGATTACTATTTTCATCTTAGCATCCAGGTTAGTGCCTTTCATCTAGTAGGTACTCAATAAATATTTGTGGAATTTATCGCATAGACAAAGACAGCCTAATGTGCCAAAGTAAGTTATTACTGGCATATGCTGCCTGTTCCATAAAGGGAAATATTTGTGTGGAGGGCACCCATAGCCCCTACGTCACTGTAGGGACACCATTCTCTCCTTGGCACAAAACTGGAGACAGAACCTACTTTACATTGCAGAAGTCCCAACATAAGATAAAAACTTCAGTATCTGTTTTCTCAAATATTTCTTCCAATGTGTATCTAAGAACGAAGGAGAGGATTTGAGGAGATGGTTAGGATAACCCTCTACATGTAATTTACTTTAAAAAATTATGTCAAATATGCAATATATTCTAAACTCTTATCTATTGGCTTCCACATTAAAAAATAGTATCTTATTTTACCATTGTGGAAAATTGATGCACCAAGATGCATATTTTAATTCTGTGAGTTTGCCTACTCCTTGCCACACCACTGTATCCCCCTAAGGTATGTTACCCAGACTAAGAAGCGGACTCAAATACTACCAAAATATATGCCTTCCTACTTTACTCCCACCTTTGTTACTCCATATGTTTTTTTACTTATGCATTCAGTAAACATCACTGAATACTTATTGTGGGTAAGATTCCATGCTAAACACTCATACATATATCCATCCATCTGCCCATCCATTTATTTATGGAGCACATTCTATATGCCAGGCACTTTTCTAGGCACTACAAATATTTGCACACTAAATACAGACGCAAAATTTGTTCTCATAGAATTTACATTCTAGTTTTAGGTACTAGAAATACATAAAACAGCAGCTAATTATCTTAATTCATGGGGTTTACAGTCCAGCTGCACCTGCAATACTACAAGTCTTGAATTGCACCTCTAGAAGAAAGACTCCTAAAGGTGAAATACTCATGCCCTGTCCCCTGAATGAAAAAGCAGATCCCTAGTGAGAATAGCAGAGATGGCTGATGGCTGGGCAGTGGTTAGGGGTCGGGTGGGTGGGGCGTGGTAATAGGACTGCGACCAGGAAAAGCTGCGAAGAAAGATTCCTTCTGTGGCAGCAATTAATTTCACCATTCGGAGGGAAGGCATGGGGAGTCCTCACACTTCCAGAGAAGACCATGTAGGGATCACAGTGGCACTAGCAAAAAATGAGACACTCCCTGCTATAAGGTGGAGGGTGTTCCAAGGACAATCTGAGGTGCCTGAGGGCCACAGAGGAGCTCACCAGTAAAATAAAGGAAAACTTCGATGCAGAGGTGGCCCAGGCCTGAGGCCCTATCGATGGAAAGACCTTGTTCCCTGGGATGATACTCCTTAAGATCCTGCTTGCCTGAAACTTAATCACTATTTTCTTAAGGCAGATCTAATGCTTGCTGTATGGCTTCAATCGTATGCTTTCTGTAACACTGTGTTGTGTGGCTACGGTTGGAAACATAAGTCTGTATAGCAGGATGTATATTTTCATGAGCTATGAGAGATCTTGAGTCAAATGAAATTTGGTATCTCCTCTCTCCTCCCCATACTCCATTAGGGCATCTACCATTCAAGGATTACAGAAATAACTGTTATATATGATAGGCTGGTTGTGATCCTGGCTACTCAAAGGTACACATCCAGGAATATGGGAATTCAAAGAAAGGAGAGGTCACTTCTGACTCGGGGAGAGAGACGGCAGCAAAGACTTTTTTTTTTTTTTTGAGAAGGAATCTCGCTCTGTCATCCAGGCCGGAGTGCAATGGCATGATCTCGGCTCACTGCAACCTCTGCCTCCTGGTTCAAGCAATTCTCCTGCCTCAGCCTCCGGAGTAGTTGGGACTAGAGGTGCACGCCACCATGTCCAGCTAATTTTTGTATTTTTAGTAGAGGCGGGGTTTCATCATGTTGGTCAGGCTGGTCTCGAACTCCTGACCTCAGGTGATCCGCCTGCCTTGGCCTCCCAAAGTGCTGAGATTACAGGTGTGAGCCACCACACCCGGCCAAGACTTCTTAAAAATATGGTATTTAATCTTGCCCAGACCTTAAAGGACGGGCAGAACTCAGGGAGGAGAAAAGCAAAGTGTGGCCGTAGAATATAAGCCAGAAACAGCCTACTCCAAGTTTAATGGGAAAGGAGTTAAGAGAGATGTACCAACTTCCATCTTTTAGGTAAGACTGAGAAGTTTGGTAAGTTTGGAGAAGAAAAATTGCCTATTTTTGTTTGTTTGGTTTTGTTGATGTTGGTGTTAAATGATTAAGGCAATCCCTTTATGATCCAATAATTTTCTGAAAGTAGTCAAGACAAAGAGGCAAGGTTTGAACACCAAGCAATCGTACTTTATAGTTTTAAAAAAGGGGAAAAAAAGGGGGGAAAGAAGAAATACCAGTTCAGATTTCCATCTCTCATAGGTATATGAGAATATACATAGAAAAAAATGTGAGAAAATGTTAAGAAAAAAAATATGTGGGAAAGAAACCAAAGTCTCACCTAAGTACCCAGAAAGATCAGCAAGTTTCTCCTCATTTCTAGGATGAACAGAGGAAGACAAGTGAGCCACACTTTACTCTAGCTGCCCCTGTTGACATTTTTGGCCTGTTAATTAGGAAGAAATGTCTAATGGTGTTTAGGAAGGTGGTTTAAACAACAACAACAAACAAACAAAACCAAAGAAAGACAGTTCATCAAATTCATATACTACACAGACACCACCAGGCTTTCTAGAATTTTTATTAAAAATTACAGACATCATAGCAATAATTCTCAGATACCACCTCCTCTACTAACAAAACCTTCTTTCATGGCTCCATAGAGAGGCCAGAAACTAATTCTCCCACACCTGCATAAATCTACAAAGGGCTCCCTCCCTGGGCTTCTGACAGTCTCCACTCCAGCTCCTGGATTAGAGAGCAGTGTCTGAATATATTTATAGAGTCTATATAGATTGTTGCTTTAAGCAAGACTATTAATATGCCAGAACTCCGAGTTCCCAAACTTATTCAATTATCAATTTGTTGTACATAATTTAATCTCTCTGTATTTTGATATGCAAAATGGAAAATGCACTGCTGATACTTCACAGGGTGAAAAGGAGATAACCACCAAGACCATTATAAAGCTTGCTGGGGGAAAATCAGGAGCTTATGTAAATGTCTATTAATTAAACAGTCACGGCTGCACAACTAGGTCAGGCATGATGATAAGACTGAACAACCCACCCCAGCCACCAGCCTCAAGAAGAAGAAATGAACATTTAGTCCTAATAGCACTTGTTGCGTTTTATAAAGAGTCTTAAATTGTAATATTCCCTAACACAACAAGAGTAGCATCTTTCAGACCATCCTCAAATAATTCTTTGATAGAACATAAACTTATTAGAGTCAACAGCCAAAAACAAAACAAAAAAGCAAGCCAATTACTAATGAAGAACTTGTAAAAAGCTAATCAAAGCTCTCATCCAGAGAAAATGAGAAAATCTGAGGCTCAGAATGATTTTGTATATTGATGAGATTTTATATAGCGTCATAGAGAGAAAAATAAAACAGATTTAAGTGAATACAAAAAGGATTCCAAGTCTCTATTTAAAAGCCTTGTTATGTTCCAAGTCAATGTTTTCATTAAAATGTTTTGTTCCAGTAAAAACATCCACTTTAAAAAAATGCCTGACAGGAGGTGCTGTCAGTAGAGGATACTGTCAATTTCTCTGTCTCTCTAGTCAAACCCCTGCAAGTGCAGAAGGGCAGAAAGAAGAATGTTTATTCGGCCCTCACCTGAGGGTGACAGTGTGGTGGATAATGGAGAATAGAGGACCACAATCATTTTTCTCCATGTCAATGGAAAAAACAATTATTTTGTTTGTTTGTTTTGAGAATAAAAAACCTAGTCCAAAGATATAGAGAAGAATCCCAAGAAGGATGTCAGATTAAAGATAAAGAGACAGAGAAGAAAACAGTGGGAGTAAAGTCTGAGGAGAAGTAAGCAATACAAAAGCAGAGCAGATTTCTCAGTGTGATCCCAGGACCATCAGAATCATTTGGGGTTGCTTGTTGACCATGTCATTTCCTGGAACCCACTCCAAATCTGTGATCAACTCCCAAGGCAATGCTCATGCTCACTAAAGATTGAGCACCACCTGCTTCCCTAGGGGAAAAGGCTAGCTTTCTCCAGCATGAATAGAGGAAAGGAAAGAAGAGAGTCATAATGATAGCTGATTCCAGAAGGAAACACAAGGCACGTGGTTTCTGACAGCACCCTCCCCGCCACTGCAAAATAGGAGGCACACCCATCCCCTAGGAGTCTGTGCAGATCAGGTAATTCACGTGTGTGATGCATACTCCAGGGGCGTGCCAGGAAAGCAGAGAGAAGAACTGATGGGCGTAATTAAAGTGGAACAGCACAAACATACTATGGGCTACAAATTACATGTTTATAATTAGTTTAAATTATAAATGCTGCATTTTTCTCCAGTAATACTTTGTTGTCAAAAAAGAATGCAGGAAAGAATTAGGCAGCAAAGCACCTAATGTGTGGGTGATAAGCTTATCAGGGAAGGTGAGTCTGAGCTAGACTGGGTATTCCCTCTAAAAGGGAATCACACAAACAAGTGTATGAACTGAACATTTACTAGGATTCTCCCTAAATTCTAATAATAATACTAAGAGGTTGACATATAATTATTGTAAAGATAAGGAAACTGGGGTTTAGAGATGCCAATTAACTTGCCCAAGGTCATTTAACTTGGAGGTTTGATTTCAAAGTCCCTGATTTACTTTCCAAATCTTTTCAGAGCTAGCGTGACCTTCAAATATACACAGAGGAAATGACACTCAATTTCTAGCATGTCTCTCTACCTGTCCCTTTCCTGAGGTAGTCTGGGGTGTGAGATGCACACATGGGCAATGGGGTTCAAGGTACGAATCTAGGGCAGGGTTTTACGGATGAGCCCAGCAGTGGTCCTGCACACCAGGTACCCTAAGCCCTGCTTCTGCAGGGTGGGCCCTGATACCTGCTCAGTGCTGAGGGCTGTGGGAAACAGAGCAGATGAAGGGTCTCTCCCCCAATATGCTACTTTAGTTTAAGGACTATTTTGAGCTAAAGGTAATTCAAACGCAGCAAATTCAGAAAGAGCTCTTTACCCTCCCCCATCTGCCTAAAAGTATGACATAAACTTCTCTTTGTGAAGGTGTTCCCCTCCCGTCTCCCATACCTGGAACAGATCATCCAGGTATCACCGGACACAGAATGTTGGCACTGAGATGGGTCTGCACAAACAAATCTTACTAAAATCGCCCTTATCTTCCATTAGTTTCTCCTCATATTTACATTCTTATAATCTGTGCCCCTGGAAGCCCAAATCCCTTTTGCTTCCTCTTGTGACTTCTCCACAAATGTATCACCCTTTGTTAAAATGGTGTATAAGCTGCAGGGTCTAACTGCTCCTCTGAGTCTCCATGCCTTTTCTGTAAGGGCACGTAAAAACTAAAATGTTAAATCAAGTAAAATTTGTATGGCTTTTCTCCTGCTAATCTGTTTTTTGTCAATTTAATTTGCAGGCCCTAGGCAGTCAATTAGAGGGTAGACAGAAAAGTTTTTTTTCTCTCCCCTATATAGTAAGAAAGTTGGGGACAGAGAGATGACAGGTAAGGAAGTTGAGGGCAGAGGGGCCTGGGCCTTCTCTGGAACTGCTCTATGTTAACTGCAAAATGATGGAGCATCTGTACCTGGAATTCAAACATGGCACTGGTTCATTTAACTTAGAAGGTCCATGAGGGATAGTCCCATGGGCTGGCAATGCCATCATGTGATTATGGGTTCAAACTCTCACTCTTTCGTTTAAAGCAGTGATGATTAAGATGCTGTAAGAGGGTAAACAAGACCTCAGAGGCACATTTTAAAATTGGAGCCACACAAATATAATATAAACGAAGGAACAATATATTCCTGGGATAATCAGAAGTCAGAAATTTTTATTTTTCAGTTTAAATTAACAGATAATAGACTGCTTCTGGGTTATTAAAGGAAGAAATGTGTTGAAAGGGCAATTCGTTAGTCATTTTTAGGCTCAGATCAGAACATTGGTGATGGTGTCAGACAGTAGAGGTACAGGTTCAGTCAGGTATAACATAGGTGTCTAATGTGATAGGAAAAATATTATCTAGTTAGATGTTACACAAGTGACTGAAAAACTAGAAAGTGAATGTATAAAATGAAGAAAATATACCTGAAAAATACTACCAAAACAAGTGATATATTTCCTAATTAGTCTTATGTAAAGACATCAGCCCTAATTCTTTTTGTATATTTTTAATACTTTCAAAGTCATATTTTAAACCTGAAGAAGAACATTTCAGGCAGAAAGATATAAGAGTAAAGACCATTAGAAGGGAGTGAACTAGATGTGTTCAAGAGCAGAAAGGAGGCTGTAAGGCTGGAATATTGGGAGAGAGAGAAGACAGCAGAAACCCTGAAGCTAGAAAGGAAGGCAGAGTCCAGTGGCTTGATAGCCCTGGGGAGAGAAGGAAGCTGCCCTCCTGCACTTACTTTAAATACAACAGAAAGTTTTAAGTGCTTTATGACAGAATCTGTTATTCACTTAAAAAAAAATGTTGGCTGCTGGGTGGAGAATGAAGACAAGAAGAGAAAAGAAAGCAAAAGAGGCAGGAAGGAAGCTACCATGAAAGCTACTGTATCAAGAAAGAAGGGGCTTGATTAGGGTGAAGACAGTAAAGATGGAGAAAAATAAATGGATTTGAGATATATTGGTGACTAGAAGTTCCAGGGATTGCTATTAGATTGGGATTAAGAAAAAATCCAAGCTATGCATTAATATATATTACCCAACTATATTTTCACAATTCTATAAAGTAGGTATTCTTCCCATTTTGTAGAAATTTATTTGGAGGAATGGCTTATCCAAGGTCGTGGAATGTATAAATGATTGAGCCAAGACTTATGTCCAGATCTAAGAACAAAATTGAGTTTTTCCAATGCCAAGCCTGCTAAGACTAAATACAGAACTTCAGTATGAAACAACTTTCAGGTGGTACGTTTATTCTATTTTTATCTTAAAGTAAAACAATTGGAAGCCTGCACTTTCCAAGCATTAATTCTTTACTTTTTTTCTTCCATTACATTACAGAATGGTGACAATTTTTGACTTAAGTCTATTTCTGAGACACACACTAAACCAAGGACACCACTTTTGAGCTAGGTGTGTTGCGGCACACCCCTGTAAATCAGCAACCAGAAAATTCAAAGATTTCCAAGAATACATTCACAAAACCAGCCTAATTTATTGATAACCAGATACTTATGTCTGGCAACTATCGCACAGGAAGATATTTTATGAGCAACACAAAATAAAATAGCAATCTATTACCTATCATTACTTTTTAGAATGGTGCCAAATATTATTTTAAAGCAACAGAAAAGAGATGAATCTTCAAGATGATTTTTAAAATACTATAATGCTTCTCTTTAGATAAATATAATCAGTATAAATTTCTAATACTCCAGTTACAGCTATAGCTCCTGACAGTTTTTTTCCTTTCTGCTTCTTACCCAACTTTGAAAATATAAGGATTCCTTTTATACCCAGAAGCAGATTTCCCAGTGATTTCATTAAGCTAAAATTAGTTTTTCTCTTTAGCTCTCTCCAAAGAGACTCCATGAAGAAAACTCATAAGCATGCGATAATCCCATTACAAAATATGTGATTCTCCTTCTCATAACGAAAAATGTTAAAGATCTGCCCTATAAAAACCTGGCTACTATGAGGCATTTTCCCCACTTTCTAGAATACTAATAATTTAAAACTAAATAACAAAAAACTATGCTACTAATAGGCTGCCGTATTGAGAAATCATACGCTCCTACAAATAAACATAGTAATAGAGCTTTTCAGACAACCATTGTATTATGGTGTTTTGCAAGTAAGGTATTAGGGGAGACAAATAAACTGATACATATGGACAAGAATGACAACTTCTTATTTTTAAAAAGTGTTTTATTAAAACTTTAAGCAACTTAATAATGTCAAGATTTTTAAAAAGTATAGTCTAATCCCACTTCCTGATCATATCAATTTCTTACATTTCCCCAACTTCTGCTGAAATTTTAAGAATTGTGTTTTTAATAGTTTGGATCTAGTTCAGTATTTTCTAGACAAGAAAGTCTATGACCCAAAAAGAGAGTCTAAGACCCAAAAAGAAAACTAGTACCAAAGATTTCTACATGAACTCATGAGATGAACCTTGATTTAAAGGTTGAGCTCTGAGTTTACCGTCATTTTCTCCCCAGTGGCTCTTCAGGCCAGCAACACTCAACGAAGTTCATGAACGCTTCAGA